>NC_000003.12:117038907-117341937 GCF_000001405.40 Homo sapiens
AAAACTAGGGTAAGGTGTGGTTGCTCACGCCTAATCCCAGCACTTTGGGAGGCCGAGGTGAGCAGATCACTTGAGGTCAGGAGTTCGAGACCTGCCTGGCCAACATGGCAAAACCTGGTCTCTACTAAAAATACAAAAATTAGCTGGGCATAGTGGCTCATGCCTGTAATCCCAGCTACTCAGGAGGCTGAGGCAGGAGAATCACTTGAACCCGGGAGGCAGAGGTTGCAGTCAGCCAAGGTCATGCCACTGTGACACTGCACTCCATCCTGGGCGACACAGTAAGACTCTATCTCAGAAAAAAAAAAAAAAAAGTAAAGGCAGTACAAAATATTAACAATTTCACTTAAGAGCATAGATGAGCAAATCCTAAATAATAGTTATCTGACAAAATTGGAGAGACTGCTAAGAAAATAAATTCATCAAGCAATATTGATCCTGAGACAGAAACGATTGTTTAACCTCAGAACATCCATCAACATAAGGCATCCTATTAGTGGCCTAAAGGAGGAAACAAAGAGTCATATATATTTTTTCAATAAATGTAGAAAAATGACTTTTGATTTAGTTTAATACACACTTATAAGCAAAACTAAACAAACCAAAAATCTCTCAAATATTTGGACTACTAAGGCACTTCTAGAACTTTATAAAGAGTATATGCCAAATCTATAGTAAATATTCTGCTAAAAGAAAATTCATTGTATGCATTTTCTCAGAGATCTGGAAAAAAGATAAATATGCCCATTAACCCTGTCCATGTTTGATATAGTACTAGAACTGCTAGCAAATACAAAAGCACATGAAAAAAAAAAAAGTGAGAAAAGTGAGAAAAAAATAGCACAAACCTGTAAGTATTTGCAAATGTATGCTCATTTACATAGGACAATCAACAGATTTTTTACATAAACCAGAACTCAAAATAAACTTCTGAAATACTGATGAGTAAGATCAACTTGCACATCCTAATAGCATTCATCTAAACCACTAATAGCCAATTTAGAAATATAATAGAAATTAAGAACCCCTCATAATAACCATAAAAGAAAGTACCTAAAAATTATCTTGATCAAAAGGGCACAAAGTATTCACAAAGAGAAATTTTAAACTCTATTATATGTCATAAACATAAACTGAAATACCAGTTGATACCTTGTTCATGAATTAGATACCTTAATATTGTAAAGGTGTGTACTATCGATAAACTAATTTCAAAGTTAAACATAATTCTCAAGAAAAATACCAGGAGGATCAGCAGAAGTATTTTAAAGAAATTCAACAAATTTATTCAAGAATGTATACAAAAATTAAAATCGTAGATTACTAAGTTCATTTTCAAAAAGTAGACCAAAGAAAACCTGACAGTATTAAGACACATTATAAAACTATAATAATAAAAACAACATGAAACTGCCACAGAAATAAACAAATAGACCAAAGGAGATAGAATATTTATAAAGAGTTCTATAATCCATAGAGGAGCTATAGACATAACAAAACAGTAATGAAATCTATAAAGGAATAATTATGTAAAAAATATTTGGGAGAGATAGATTCATTTATGGAGAACGACAAGGTTGAACCCCCTACCATATACTATACACAAAGGTGAATTTCAAACATGTGGAAACTAAAGGAGTAATGCTAATACAATAAACTAAGGAAATACACTGGTTACCTTGGAGTGAGTACATAATGGTTAAACAAGACTCCGAAAGCACAAACTACAAAGAAAATCATAAAATAATTGTTGGCTTTGACTATATGTAAATTAAGTATTTATGTTCACCATATGTTACTATTTGTAAAATTGAAAGGTGATATGCTTTGAGAAGATAGTTCTGACATTTAAAATCTTGAAAAGATTAATATAAAGAACATTCAAGAAATTCCAGAAAATCAACTACCCAAAGGAAAGAAAATAAAAAATGGACAGAGAATTCACAAATAAGGTTCACAGAATGAGAAACCTTGAAGTATGACAGGAATACAATTAATCAGGAAAATACAATCAGAAAATAAAACTACCTCGAGATACGAATTTGTACCTACTTGACTGGCAAAAAATAAAAAGTTGAATAATAAGTATTGATAAGAGTCTAAGGAAATGGGATGTTTACTGGTAGAAATGTGTAATATAGATCTACAAAACTAAAGGACAATCTCCCAGGACTTAGTACAATTATTCATGTGTCTAATCTAGGAAATTTCAGTGCCACTACTGGATATATACGTTAGCACAGCAGTCTTCCAAATGAGGTACTTGTACACAAAATCTATTCAAGGAGGTATGCAAGCACAAATAGTTTCTACTGAATCAATTTTCCAATCCTCAGATTTCTTACATTCTTAAATTAATTGGTTGGCTTTCTTGTTTCCCACTCTTTCTTTCATTATTTCTCTTCCTTCACTTTAAGAAGAAAGGCCTACCATTTACCTGTCCAAAATCTTACATTGTTCCAGGATTCAAACGCCTGAATCCCTGATTCAAACAAAGAGACAATGTGAAGTCTGCAGGGTGATATGTGACATCAGAAGCAGGAAAGTTTGGTCAATGTTAGAGCATTCTGAATTCAAATGTGTCAAACAGTGTAGCAAAAGGAGTGAAGTTATAGCTCTTTCTACGTCTTCATTTCTTCCACCCTTGACTACTGACAAAGAACGCATAGGTTTTGAGGAAGCAAAACTAGTAAAGCGTTGCTAAGAAAGATGAGGGTACCTTACTTCATCGAGGTAAATACAGGACTCAAAAAGAAAGACTCTGTGCCTTTTCTACCTGTTTTAGAATTATATTGTTTGAAACTTGTAAGAAGCACGCAGGATAATCTTAATCTGTTATGAAAGACTCCCTTGTCACCGTTCCGTTGTGAGAAAGGGCTAGGGGAGTACCTGTACTTTCAATCACCCTTCTCTATCTCTGTTGCATATTTTGCATGATTTCAAGAAAAAAGAAGGAAAAAAGTTCCATCTTTACTTCTCACAGATGAACACTACATTGTTAAGTAAAACAAAAGAAAACACAACTTTTATGAAACGTGTTTTTATTTTTTGAACATTTATTTAGATCCTTAGGAGAAAAATAACTTTTATGAAGTCATTTCTATGAGGTTAACTTGTATGAAGTTCATTAACTTTTATGAAGTTTATGTAGGCTATGAACCCATTTAAGACTTGGAGACATGATTACATGAAATAACGAAAAAGTTAAATGTATAAATTTTGTCATAGTGAGTTCTGATAAGATGATCAATAACATAATTTCAAACATATTTCATTAGAATAAAAATCATGAGGAAAATGAAATGGGAACAAAAGTGCAAGAGAAAAAAGAACAATGTAAGATTGGTGACAGTTTAAAAAGCTTTTATTCAGTGAAGATGCAAATCGTATGGTGTGCTTAGATTGTTTGTTCTAAATGCCATTTATGTTTTGACTAACAGAACAAAACAAAACAAAAAACTTGTCTGTTGGAAAAATGGCTGATTCTGGGTCTGCAGCAGAGCATTTATAAGGTGAGGCTTGCCATGCCTGAAAGAAAGGTGATATTAAAGACCACTAGGGTCACATCAAAAGAAGACAAAAGCTAACAGAAAGAAATTTCTATGGTCAAAAATGGAAAAATCTGAGCACCAAAAAGAATAATGACCACAATCGATTGAAACACATATAAAGTCTAGAAGTTCACAGTGACCAAAAAAAAATTCATTTATAACCATGGAAGGTTGCCAGGGCAACAACTCATTATTCTGAAAACTGATTAAGGGAACACATCAAGTACTTGTCTTGTCTTTTCTACTGACCTGTTTTTCAAAGTAACCAAATAGTTGATAAGGAAAAAATTTTTATAGGAAAGCAGGAATAATAAATGCAGAATGATAGAAAGTCACTATTTTGCAACCTTAATGGAATATTGGATCTGATCACAGGCAGCTGCTGAAACTATTTAACTGACTGATGATGAATTTTAAATGGATGGATCAGGCTGACAGCACCTGAACCACTGATCAATCTTAACATCACTAATAATACGGCAAAGTGCCTCATGATATGATATGACAGAAAATACTAAGCATCACCCATGAAGTATTCTTGCAAACAAAACAAAATAATCCTTAATTCTATCAATTCACTAGATCTAACTTTCAGTTTATGGGATATGTAGGGGAAAGAAAAACATGTTAAACAACACCATGAAGACACAGTTGTGACAACACAATCATATCTAAGACAAAAGATGCAACTTCTCCCACAAATAAGTGCCATGGAAAACTTAAAAAAAGAAATGTTACAGAGTAAAAGAGACTCAAAAGGAATCAATCAAATATAACACATGGACCTTTTTTGGATCCTAATTCACATAAGCCAGCAGAAAAAAAAGAAGCAGAAAAAATTGAGCATATATTGAATATTAGACACTATTAAGGGAATATTATAAATTATGCTGATTGTGACATAACAGTTTTGTGGTTTTTGCAGTCAGATATACATTTAAAAATATTTGTGAATGAAGTAGTATGATGTATGCAATTTACTTTGAAATACTGTAACAAATAGGGGGAAAATGCCTAAGAATGGCAGAATGGTGACTTTAAGTTAGGTAATTGGTAAATGGACGTTTGTTATACTATTCTACTTTTGTACATTCTTAAAAATTCATAATAAAGAGGGTTTTTAAAAACATATTTAAAAAAAAATCTTGGCTGGGCGCAGTGCCTCACACCTCTAATCCCAGAACCTTGAGAGGCCAAGGTGGGAGGACTGCTTGAGTTCAGGAGTTCAAGACCAGCCTGGGAACATAGTGAGATCCTCATCTCCAAAAAGCTAAAAAAAAAAAAAAAATAGCTAGGCATGTTGGTGCACCTGTAGTCCCAGCGACTTGGGAAACTGAAGTGAGAGGATCGCTTGAGCCCAGGCTGTCAAGGCTGCAGTGAGCCGTGATCGTGATCACGTCAGTGCACTCCAGCCTGGGTTACAAAGTGAGACCCAGTCTCTAAAAAAAAATTAAAATAAAATAAAAACTTCTCGGCCAGGTATGGTGGCTCACGCCTGTAATCCCAGCACTTTGGGAGGCCGAGGCAGGTGGATCACAAGGTCAGCAGTTCGAGACCAGCCTGGCCAACATGGTGAAACCCTGTCTCTACTAAAAATACAAAGATTAGCAGGGCATGGTGGCAGACGCCTGTAATCCCAGCTACTTGGGAGGCTGAGGCAGGAGAATTGTTTGAACCCAGGAGGTGGAGGTTGCAGTGAGGCGAGATCTCGCCATTGCACTCCAGCCTGGTCAATAGGGTGAGACTCCATCTCAAAAAAAAACAAAAACAAAACAAACAAAAATCACTTCTCTTGTAATCAGATTCCACTGGATACACTTAAAGAATAATGAAACATTTTTATTTTAAAATATTTACAAATGTTAGAAATCATACTTTAACAACTATTTAAATTTATAACAAAACAGGTTTTGATGTGAAATTAATGTGCAAGGAACTATATAATTTTAAAAATTCTTTTTAGGGGTTCATGAGCATAAAACTTCGAAGACTTGCCCTAGATAACTTCTTTCTAGATACATGACCCTTCTTGCCGACTGAGTCAACATCTCAAGATAGAGATTAAAAAAAAAAAAAAATCCACTCAGCTTTTATCTGTAAAATGAAGAGCTAATTTTGCTGGGGCATTCTGGGAAATATTTTCTTCTATAACAAAACAAAATACACTTTGGGAGGCCGAGGCGAGTGGATCACGAGGTCAGGAGTTCGAGACCAGCCTGGCCAAGATGGTGAAACCCCGTCTCTACTAAAAATACAAAAATTAGCCAGGTGTGGTGGCATGTGCCTGCAGTCCCAGCTACTTGGGAGGCTGAGGCAGAGAATTGCTTGAACCCGGAAGGCGGAGGTTTCAGTAAGCCGAAATCGTGCCACTGCACTCCAGCCTGGGCAACAGAGCAAGACTCTGTCCCCCAAATAAAATAATAAAATAATAATAATAATAAAGTGCTGTCTTGATGCCCTCACTGACTCCTACACCCCTGTCTCCTTCGTGGCCTTTGTGTAATATCATATGAGGACACGATGCTAGAAACTGCTGCAGCCATCCAGTGAAAAGAGAGAACCATTGTCTAAGGATGCCAGAAAAAGTTTGAGATTATATTCTGTAGAAGCAGAACTAAGACAGAGTTTGGGGATGAACATATGTGATAGACAAGTGGAGGGAGCAGGATTGGGCAGAGGAAGAAGACAAACTAATTCAGACCCAATAAATCCTCAACTAAAATACAGTGAGCTCTTGAGCAAAGAATTTCCAATTATAGTGTCCTGTTGTGGGCCACACCTTTAAACACTAGGGTCAGCCTTGCTCAGTCACCAGAGGGCAGCTTCCCTAAGAGTATGCCTGGGGGCAGGGTGGCTCCCTGCAGCCGAGGCTGACACTGCAGCAGCTCACAGCTGCAGGCTTTCTACCCAATGCATGCCTCACAGTTGGTTTGTAAGTACTTCCTTGAAGGGAGGGATCTCAGTAGCAGCACAGTACAACCTGAGTTCTGGTAGCATTGTTGAGTCTCTGAACAAATTCCAGGACACCTATTTCTGATGTTAGTCAGGCAGGCAAGGTGAGTTGAGGGTAGGAATGGTTTGAGGTAGAGGATGGCAGACTAACCCTGACTGCAGCTTGCCATGCAGGATGGGTGTCATAGTAAAAGGTAAACAAGGCTCAAATCCCAAAGAGCCCTCTCTGTATTATTTACTAAGTGGTTAAAACCATAGCCTAAAATGTTAAGGTCAATGAGGACCTACATGGAGGGGTTTTCAGGAGGAGAGTCAGGTCAGATTTTCAGTTTTGATAATCGCTTGGCCTGCTATGAATTTGAATGATCCAAGGCCTGGGGCAGGTAGAACATGAAAGAGATAAGGTAAGGGTAGTGGCACTAAGAATACAAATGAGTAAATGTAGCTTGTACCGAATATTTATTTCACACAGTAGCTGACCAAAGGTGCAGACATAATTGGAGTAACACTTGTTAGAAGAAAAATACTGTGAGTTACTAGTGAGTCCGGAATAGTAATACTTGAAAAAGAAAACATGGTTCAGCAAGTTATGGGTCAAGTGATAATCAGGGTGACTTCTTTCTTTATTATTATTTTCCAAAACTCTGGAAAAATCGTATGTGAAAATAAATGCATGCATATTGGAAATTTCTAGTAAGGACCTGCTAGAGCTAAGCAGCCTGGGTTGAACTAAGCCTGAGTTTAAGACCAGCTTTGTCATTTGCAAGGTGCTTACTCTGGGAAAAGTTGCTTACTTCTCTTATTCTTAGTACCTACATCATAGGCTTGTTGGAAGATAAAATGAAAAAAAGGGCTGTAAAGCACGTGATATGTAATAAATCCAAAACAAATGGAATCTGTTCTTATTACTTTTGTCATCCTGAACAGATGAAAGTAAAACTTGAAAAGATCAACAAATTGGCTCTACATGAGACAGATTTATCAACATTTAAAAGCATAGCAAAACAAAGAAAGATTTAGAACAATGAATACACAAATGTCCCACTACTTATAAAGAAAGGGTGACTCTAGAATTCATAAATCTGAATAAAGTACCCATGAACCTTCCAGATATGTTCTAAGAAATGATTTGTATTTACAAGTGCCATACAAATTTAATATGCTAGTATCATTTAATTATGTCCAATTAAATTATATTATCTATTTTCACACCAGACCCCCTTTTCTTATGTTTTCATGATAAATGTATGTTCTAGAAAACTTGTTTGCTAAGGACAATTTAAATTTAAAGTAAAGCTATTTATTTACAAACTTCAGGCTGTGTACAAAATTGATAAGATAGCAACGTGATGTACTGGGCTTTGAACAGGAAAAACAAGTTTCTGATACAATTAGCAGAGCATGCCTTGGCACTATTTTCCAAAGAGAATAAACCATACATTCTTTTTACTGCCTTCCTTATGTCAGCCTAGAGCAAGGGCTGCAGAGATGTGCACTCTGGATTCATATATTGTTTATACTATTGTATGTTTGATTAACATTTTAGGCCAGTGTACAGAAAAAGGACAGATGACATTTACAGATGATAAAGTAGGAGGCAAAAACCATCATAGAGGATTCAAAAAATTTTTGACAGCCTGGCAAATGGGTTCAAATTAGTATGACGTGATTAAGTATGGATTAATGTAAAATCTTGCATTAAGTTTTTAGATTTAACTTATAGAATGGGGAAAAACTTGATTTAATATATTTTCTTTGAAAAAAAATGGCTGATTTTGTTGACTACATGACAAAAGGAAATAATAGTGCTGTATTATCATTAAAAAAAAAACACTATTATCTTCTTGGAATACACTGATATAATAATTCACTAAGTCTACCAAATGGGTTGTCTATTATATGCTTGGCATTGTGACAATCTCTATAAGAAATTCAAAGACTGTGTAGGAGAGCATAAAGTTTACTAGATCAAGAAATAAAATTGTCCCATTGTGCCTGTCATATAATTGTGGAAAGCCTACTATGGATAAGGTATGCTGATGCTTGTGGGATTGCAACTGATAATAAAACATAGCTCCTACCTATAGAATATGTAATTTATTACAGATCATAGGACAGGGAAATTTCTTTCTTAAATTTTGAGATTTTAGGCTTATTACAAAGTACTATTGCTCAGGAAAATCCAATATTCTGTAGATGAATTAATCATATATTTACATATCCATACACACATAATACATATGTGTCTGCAGAGAATTCATAGTTAAATATTCATAGGGTTTACCTCTGATGGCTATGAAGAGGACTGCTGCTTCCTCTTTGTGTTGGTATGGATAAAAATCCCCAAAGAATTCCATATGTCAGTAGGTCTGTTTCTCAGCAACTCTAGCCTCTCTGATTGCCCCATATCTTTTCTCCTTCTTTTTTGGTCATCAGTTTTTGTTTTAACAACCTTAACTTTGGCATTGAGTTTGATTTTGAGAAGAGGGGTTTTAATCAATTAAGTAATTTATCCAATTAATTGACAAGACAAAGTCCTAGGAAGTGAGATAATTTTCCCCATCTTGCAATGTAATATATATTTTTTAAATTCCTGAGTGACAACTCTATAAGGTCATCTGAGTTCTGGCAGCTCCATTTTAATCTTGATTATATACACTTCATGATTTTGTTGTCTTCTTAGATCTTGCTTTTTCAGACCACTCAATACATATGCAAATCCAGTGTGTGACTACTCTGTATACCATTCTCTTTTCACTTTCACTACTTACCTATGTAGATTTACTGATAATCCAATATCATTGTCATGCTTAACTTACAAAATTGTGCAACTATCCCTACAATTAAATTATACATTATTTTTTAACACTTGAAAATAATAATAGCCAACATTTATATAGTGTTTATTATATACCTGGCACTATTCTAAATCCTTAACATGGAATAACTCATTTAATCTCCTGTCTTAGTCTGTTTAGGCTACTATAGCAAAATACCTTACACTGAGTAATTTATAAAGGACAGAAATATATTAGTCACAGTTCTGGAAGCAGAAATGAACAAGGTCAAGTTGCCAGCAGAGTCAGTGTCTGATGAGGTTTTGCTCTCTGCTTCAGAGATGGTGCCTTCTATGTGTCCTCATATGGTGGAAGTGAGGAACAAGTTCCCTCAGGTTTTTTTTAATAAGGTGATTAATCCCATTCATCAGGGCTCCACTCTCATGATCTAATCAACTCCCATAGGCCCTGCTTCTTAATATTATTGCATTGTTATTCATAAGTTTTAACATACTTGAAACTTATGAATCTAGGCTGAGTGCAGTGGCTCACGCCTGTAATCCTAGCATTTTGGGAGGCTGAGGTGGGCAGATCACTTAAGCCCAGAAGTTCGAGATCAGTCTGGGAAACATGGCAAAACCCCATCTCTACAAAAAATGCAAAAAATTAGCTTAGTGTGGGGGCACACATCTGTGTTCCTAGCTATTTGGGGGGCTGAGGTGGGAGGATTGCTTGAGCCTGGGAGGTGGAGGCTGCAGTGAGCTGATTGTACCACTGAACACCAGCCTGGGTGACAAAGTGAGACCCTGTCTAAAAAAAAAAAAAAAGAAAGAAAAAAGAAATTTATCTATCTCCTGCAAATTCATATGTTGAAACTTATGAATAATAATGCAGTGTTGAAACATATTACTCATAAACTTATAAATAATAAGTTTATAGATATACTTATTCATAAGTAAGCTTACGTATAATACATTTCAATGTATGTAAACTAAACTTATGAAAAATAAGTTTAACATATGAATTTGCAAAGGCACATATACTGAACCACAGCATCCCCCAACAAGCGTATCATGTAGTTACTATTATTAATTCCAAATGCTATTAAAATAATCTCTGTTATATTTTGAGCAGAGATTCTCTCACAACAGAATTTTATTGAAAAATTTAAGAGAAAAGATTGTTTTTACTAAGGGCATAGAGAAGACTTCCTGGGGAAAATGTCATATAATTTGACAGATGTTGAAATTTTTAAATAAGGAAAGATTAAATACAGTGGGGAAGAATGGGAAAGTGAAATGCACATCCCAGTAGAGCTAAACATGAATAAAGCACAGAAGTCAGGAAAGGCAAGATGCACTGAGAAGGCATCCATAAAGCAGAAAGAAAATCAGTCACCAAGAGCTGGGATGCCATGTTGAGGACTTTGGGTTTTATTCTCTAAAGAAACAAAAGGTCTCTTAGGGACAGAATAATTTCTCCCTTAATATGTAAAATAAGAGAAAAGACACTTAGCTGGCCACCACGTCACACCTAAGTTAGATCCATCCTTCTTGGAAATTCTTACTGATATGTGGGAGCTAAGCTATGAGGACGCAAAGGCATAAGAATGATACAATGGACTTTGGGGACTTGGGGGGAAGGGTAGGAGGGGGGCGAGGGATAAAAGACTACAAATAGCATGCAGTGTATACTGCTTGGGTGATGAGTGCAACACAATCTCACAAATCACCACTGAAGAACTTACTCATGTAACCAAACACCACCTGTACCCCAATAACCTATGGAAAACTAAAAAAAAAAAAAAAAAAAAAAAAAAACTCCCTCTCCCTCTCCCTCCTCTCCCTCGTCTCCCTCTCCCCACGGTCTCCCTCTCCCTCTCTTTCCATGGTCTCCCTCTGATGCAGAGCCAAAGCTGGACTGTACTGCTGCCATCTCGGCTCACTGCAACCTCACTGCCTGATTCTCCTGCCTCAGCCTGCCGAGTGCCTGCGATTGCAGGCGCGCGCCGCCACGCCTGACTGGTTTTCGTATTTTTTTGGTGGAGACGGGGTTTCGCTGTGTTGGCCGGGCTGGTCTCCAGCTCCTAACCACGAGTGATCCGCCAGCCTCGGCCTCCCGAGGTGCCAGGATTGCAGACCGAGTCTCGTTCACTCAGTGCTCAATGGTGCCCAGGCTGGAGTGCAGTGGCGTGATCTCAGCTCGCTACAACCTCCACCTCCCAGCCGCCTGCCTTGGCCTCCCAAAGTGCAGAGATTGCAGCCTCTACCCGGCCGCCACCCCGTCTGGGAAGTGAGGAGCGTCTCTGCCTGGCCGCCATCCCATCTAGGAAGTGAGGAGCGTCTCTGCCCGGCCGCCCATCATCTGAGATGTGGGGAGCGCCTCTGCCCTGCCGCCCCGTCTGGGATGTGAGGAGCGTCTCTGCCCGGCCGCCCCGTCTGAGAGGTGAGGAGCCCCTCCGCCCGGCAGCCGCACCATCTGAGAAGTGAGGAGTCCCTCCGCCCGGCAGCCACCCCGTCTGGGAAGTGAGGAGCGTCTCCGCCCGGCAGCCACCCCGTCCGGGAGGGAGGTGGGGGTCAGCCCCCCGCCCGGCCAGCCGCCCCGTCCGGGAGGGAGGTGGGGGGGTCAGCCCCCCGCCCGGCCAGCCGCCCCGTCCGGGAGGGAGGTGGGGGGGTCAGCCCCCCGCCCGGCCAGCCGCCCCGTCTGGGAGGTGAGGGGCGCCTCTGCCCAGCCGCCCCTACTGGGAAGTGAGGAGCCCCTCTGCCCGGCCTCCACCCCGTCTGGGAGGTGTACCCAACAGCTCATTGAGAACGGGCCATGATGACAATGGCGGTTTTGTGGAATAGAAAGGGGGGAAAGGTGGGGAAAAGATTGAGAAATCGGATGGTTGCCGTGTCTGTGTAGAAAGAGGTAGACATGGGAGACTTTTCATTTTGTTCTGTACTAAGAAAAATTCTTCTTCCTTGGGATCCTGTTGATCTGTGACCTTGCCCCCAACCCTGTGCTCTCTGAAACATGTGCTGTGTCCACTCAGGGTTGAATGGATTAAGGGTGGTGCAAGATGTGCTTTGTTAAACAGATGCTTGAAGGCAGCATGCTCGTTAAGAGTCATCACCACTCCCTAATCTCAAGTACCCAGGGACACAAACACTGCAGAAGGCCGCAGGGTCCTCTGCCTAGGAAAACCAGAGACCTCTGTTCACTTGTTTATCTGCTGACCTTCCCTCCACTATTGTCCTGTGACCCTGCCAAATCCCCCTCTGCGAGAAACACCCAAGAATGATCAATAAAAAAAAAAAAAAAAAAAGAAAAGAAAAAGAAGAAGAAGAAAAAAAAAAAAAGGTTCTCGAGTAAACAGTTTGAAGATGGTAAAAATCTTTTGACCTTCAAGTTGCTTCATCTTCGAATGACTCCGTGGCTACTGTCAGTAGCACAGCTGAACTCAGCCAACTCAAGCACATCTTATGCACTTATCAATATACTGAATATTCAAAACCAGGTATTATCCATATTTTTGTTTATTATTAAAATAAAGTTCATATAAACTTATGTAAGGTTTGTCCATAAGAAAGACTGATATTTTCATAAGCATTCCAGAACTTATACCTCCATGTGAGTGGGTCACTTTATGGGTATTATCTTGCACTTTACTGGTGATACTATCTATTGTCAAAACCTTCAGGGAATGGCTGTCAAACCCAGGTTCTAACACAGACAAGATAGGTTGTTTTCTCCTTTATCAGTATATTTTGTTATTGAAGCAAAATGAAATTAAAGTTGGAATTACCCATTCTACTCACTTTTCTTAGTACCAAAATTGCTTTTGACTGTTTGGAAAAATAAAATTCATACCCAAAGTGTAGAGATTTGCTACCTGCCTAAAAATAGCAGCCATCATTATTCAGCACTTAACATATTCTGGGAACTGTGGTAAGTGCTATAGGTATATGATCTATTATGTGTCTTAAGCCATGAGGAAACTTTGATATGGTTGGGTTAAGGATCAATAAAAAGGTCACACAGTTAGACATAATTAAGTGGGGGAAAACAGTCTGCAACATGGGATGTATTTAAAGTTAATGTTTATGTAGCATGGTGGTTAAGAGTTGGTGTCGTGGGTGTTAAGTGTCTGGATTTAGAATCTCGCTCCAACATTTCATGCCTAATCTTAGGGTGGCTGTTTGCAACCTCCCTTGGTTTCCTTGCCTTTAAAACTATGGTAAGATGTGCACTATGCACACTGTGCTTAGCACAGTAGTTGGTGCTGGCTGTTGGGTCTATGGAGCTTCAGCTGAGAAAGGTTGTCTCTGTCCCTCGAGGCCTCCCATCTTTCAGTTGGCCAGACTAGGCTTCTTCCTATGGCAGTCCCGGGGCAGCATTCCAAGACAACCAAAACAAAAGTGGAAGCCTTCCTGATGACTAAGCTAAGAACTTTTACTAATTACTTCCCTACGATCTCTGGGTCAAAGCTTCTCACATGTTCTGCTAAGATTCAAGAGGGAGAGAAATAGAATCTACATTTTGATGGGTGGAGTAGCAGCCACATGGCTAAGACACATGCGTACAAGATAAAAGAAATGGTCGTTTTCTTTTTCTTTCTTTATTATATTATTTTTGCAATCAACTCCAGTAATATTGGGGAGGTGGGACCTTAAAGAGGAGCTACTTTGAGGGCTTTGAGAGATAAATAACAAGATGATTAAATTTGCTTTTAGATGTCTTTGTCTTAAGTGTGGAGAATAGATGGAGAAAGAAAAGACTAGGCATAGAGAATCCAGATGGGATACAATTACAGTAACCCAGGTGATAGATGATGGTGGCCTGAAATAGGTAGTGGCAGTGGGACAGAGGGAGGTGGAAAAATCAAAGTGGACAAAATCAAAAGACTCAGCTGAAAGGACTGACTTTGGGAATAACAAGGTTTGTTAACTTGCTCTCTTTCGCATCACCTGAGTTAAGGAACCTATAGCCAAACTAAATAAAGCCAAAGTACTATAAGCCATAGGTTTAAAAGACATACAAAAAACAAATTAAAGTTAACTGAAAATGGAAAGATTCAGCTGCTGGTGACACTTATGACTGTTCAAGTGTCCAGTGATACAGTGGAATGGTGGAAAATCTATTAAGAATTACTTGATAGCATCCTTTCACAACGCCACTTCCAATAGGACTTTAATTTACATTTTATAAATTATGCAATATTTTATAAAGTAAGTGAAATCTTTTAGTATTCTAAAGTGCAACACTGTATTCTTGGCAGCTTAGAGTTTTGAACATATAATTTAACATTCCCTGATTCAGTAATGAGCTTTCCAAAAGGTGAGACCTGCAGAAATGTTGAAATGAGTTATTCCATCTCCTTGTCAATTTTTTAAAAAGTAATTTTCACATTAAGTACTGTTCACATACAAACCATAATGGGGATGTCTGATATGCCTACAGTAAATGCCTAAAGTAAGTTAACATTTAATCAGAAATGTTTGTTTTAATCCTTATAGAGATATTAAAGGTAAACATTCAGATAGCAATTGAAATGGACTCTATTTGTAAGAAGTGTGTACTTTAAGCCTGGGAGAGGGGAAAGGGTTCCTTGTAAATACCTCATTAAAGCACACTGAGACTCAGTAGGTGGTACTTTTCCAAAGGAGATCAACCCAGGCCCTTTGGGATTTATATAGGCCTGATATGGGCAACTCTGATATGAACAATATAATTTAATTACTTAAATGGAAGATGACCAGTTCCAAGAAACATTAAAGTCATTGTTTTGTAGCATTGCAGACTTGTATTAGATCAAATTAATACAGTCAAGATGTTTTACATAATTGGCACTTAAATATCAGGTGTTAAATAGAAGGTGTACCCTAATCATTTTTGAGCAGTTCTTCTACATTATTTACATCAGATATTTACAGCCTTGCTTCTGTGATATTTCAGTGCATTTCCAATAATCTCCAGAGATGCCTGAATAGTCTCAGTCACAATACTTTTCAATTCACCTAAAATGTACCCTATGGCTTTTAAAGCATAATATGAAGTTTGAAATAAATGAAACTATATAATAAGGCATCTTCTAAAATTTTGCTCTTTATTGCATAGATACTGAGGGTGGGGGGAAGGCAGGGTTATCAGTTACACTTAGAAATCATATTGAACCCAAATTCCATTTTATGTGGATTGAGAATGGAGAGAGAGATGTGGCATTTATATGCCACAAGATAAAGTGCTGGTTTATAGGAAGAAACTTCTCTTCCCATTTTAATGGTTGAAAGATACTTTATGAATGAGGTGAGGAGAGATTTTAGAATAGATCTACTTAAAATAAAGTAATTATTAAATATAACAGCATTTTTTAAAACCATGGCAAAGATTAGTCATGACAAGGGATGTCATGACAAAAAGCAGCTAATGGAATGAGAGAGGAAAAGGATATAAAAAGGTAATTAATGGCTAGGGACAAAACAATGTTTTTCAAGGCAACTTTGCAAGGGCTTATAGGATTTGGGTGGGGCTTGTATTTCAGTGGGTCATTGAAATGTTAATGGCTGGACAACACAACAAGCCAAATGGAAAAAGGGTGATCTTAAACTTTGCTTTCTGTTTCACATTAAGTGTTCTGAAAGGCCACTGGACAAATGCCTGATTTCCCTCTTGATGTAATGATTTTTCACAATTTTCAAAGACGGACTGTTACAGTGTAAAGAGCTAAAGCAGAACATATAACGTGGGAATGATTTAAAAGGTGATAGGAGCTGCACATGGTGCCTCACACTGTAGTCCCCCCACTTTGTGAGGCCGAGGACAGCGGATCACTTGAGGCCAGGAGTTCCAGACTGGCCTGGCCAACATGGTAAAACCTTCATCTCTATCAAAAACACAAAAAAATTAGCCAGGTATGGTGGTGCTTGCCTGTAATCTCAGGTACTTGGAGGCTGAGGCATGAAAATCGTTTGAACCCAGAAAGCAGAAGTTGCAGTGAGCCAAGATCCCACCACTGTACTCCAGCGTGGGTGACAGAGCCAGACCCTGTCTCTAGATAGATAGATAGATAGATAGATAGATAGATAGATAGATAGATAGATAGATAGATAGAGGTGGGAAGTGAGGAGCAGCAAAGCCAATCTGATGTTAGCCCATCTTCTAATTGATGCTCTTTTCTCTTTTTTCCTTTCCAAACATCCAGGCATCTAGCTCTGTCCCAGACTCTTTTCCTACAGCTTCGAAAAGCAGCGTATTGGGTTAAAACACACACACATGCGCACACACCACACACACACACACACACACACACACACACACACGAAGCAAGACTTCTTTTCAAGGCTCCTTCATCCTCTCTCTGCCATCAGGATGTGGTCTGAACCCTATCATAAAAAGAGAAGTCATAGTTAATGAGGAAGTGGGAACGCGACAGAGATGAAGCAGGAATCATAGTGGCAGAAAAACAGAAAAGGACATTTCTTTCCTTAATAAATATTTATTGCAAGTGTCGGCCAATTACCTTTTAAAGATGATTATACACATCCTATGGCTTTCATCTTTCTCATGTCACAGGTTATTCGAGTTGGGAAAAGTACATGTGACAAGTAAGTGTTGACTTAAATGCAAATTGCCTTTGCTAACCTTGCCTTTACATTAAAAAAAAAAGTTTGGAAATTTATTAACTTCTTCATTGATTCCTGCTTTTTACAAAATCAAATATTTAATATCAGTTGTAAATAGAAAACAGTTTGTTAGGCCTTTGTGTGGCTACTTTTGCCCTTCCCTTTGCCTTCCAGAAATCTGTGTGTTCACTGAAGTCAGAAGAAGAGCAATACCTTTTTTGGTTTGCTTTTTTTTTTTCTCCCCCCATCTCCTTTCTGTTTACAATGGGACACTGAAAGAATAAACTCCTATTCCAAATTCATGTGTTTGGCTTACACATATCTTAGGAGGGGTCCCATTATATGATCCTAAGACAGCATTTAAAGCAGGGATGTGATGGGGCAGAAAAAAGATAAAGGAAGAGTAGGAGGGAGAAAAGGTCTAATAACAAAATTGATGATTTCAAAAAGCCCATGATTAAAAGCTAATTTGTTTCCAGGTTTTCTTCCACAGAGAAATTTCAAGTGTCTACTCTATTGTGTAGAAAAATATAACCTACACCAGGACTGAGAATATTTGCTATGTTTACCTAAGAAATCGTTTAACCAACAAAATATTTTGTCTTTATTTAAGATTTTCAACATCTAAAGAAAAATACCAGTAATCAGATAGATGCAAACTTATGTTTTCCAGAAAGTTCTGAGCTTTGCTTTCTCCCTCTTGCTCCTACCTTTTCAATGGCTTTTCCTCTCCAATCAGTGTCCTTACAGATTTCCTTAGCCCTGCAGGTAAGAGCTAGGCAGTTTAGTGATGCTCTATTGGTTTGAAAAGAGAAGCAGTCCTTCCTGGCTAGACAGCAAAGGGGAGAATTATGTGAGGAGGCAGCCACATTAAGAGATACTGAAATGCCCAGAGACTAGAAACAAAGGAATAATTACCAGGGATGTTTAACATCTTTAAAACATGAGATTACTGTAAATATTTAATAACAATGCTTTTGGGTTAGCTAGAAAGTTATAAAAGTATTTTGGAGTTGAGAAGGAATATAGACAGTTGCTTGTCTTCATTTTATAGGACAGCCTCACAGCTGCAAGCAAATCCTAAGAAATGCCAAAAATTACCTTTTGATGAGATTGTCATAAAGCTAATAAGACTTAAGCTTCCAAGCTCTCCCTTTGCACAGACCCTGATATGATTTGGCTCTGTGTCCCCACCTAAATCTCACCTTGAATTGTAATAATCCCCATGTGTCACGGGAGGGACCTGGTGGGAGGTAACTGAATCACGTGGGTGATTTTTTTCCATGCTATTCTCATTATAGTGAATAAGTCTCAAGAGATCTGATGGTTTTATAAAGGGAAGTTCCCCCACACATGCCCTCTTGCCTATCGTCATGTAAGACGTGACTTTGCTCCTCTTTTGCCTTTCACCGTGATTGTGAGGCCTCCCCAGCCATGTGGAACTGTGAGTTAATTAAACCTCTTTCCTTTATACATTACCTAGTCTTGGGTATGCCTTTACTAGCAGCATGGGAACAGACTAATACAGACCCCAATGAATGCTGGGTGTTGTATGGTATTATCAAGTAAGTGAAGAGGAGCAGGGAGCCCAAGTTGCAAAGAGGAAGTATTTCTCAATGAGTTTTTTGGGGAAAATGTCTAGAAATTTCAGAAATAGGAGATAAGAATCTCCAAGCCTGAAGTGATTGGTGGTTATTTGATTTCTAATTCAAAATAAATATTATTCCCTTTTATAAATAATTTTGTATTTAATTTTGTATTCTTAAGAGCTCAAGTTTTGTTTTTTTCTTTTTCTTTTTCTTTTTTTTTTTTTTTTTTGAGATGGAATTTCATTCTTGTTGCCTAGGTTGAAGTGCAATGGTACAATCTCAGCTCACTGCAACCTCCATCTCCCAGGTTCAAGCAATTCTCCTGCCTCAGCCTCCTGAGTAGCTGCATGTGCCACTATGCCCGACTAATTTTGTATTTTTAGTAGAGACGGGGTTTCTCCATGTTGATCAGGCTGGTCTGGAACTCCCAACTTCAGGTGATCCACCTGCCTCAGCCTCCCAAAGTGCTGGGAATACAGGCATGAGCCACCATGCCCAGCCTGTTTTCTTCTTTAAAAATTTTTTTAAAAATTATTTTAAATATATTTTTTTGTGGGTACATGGTACATGTATGCATAGTGTACATGAGATGTTTGGATACAGGTATGCAATGTGAAATAAGCACATCATGGAGAACGGAGTATCCAGCCCCTCAAGCATTTATCTTTTGGGTTACAAACAATCCAATTACATTCTTTAAGTTATTTTAAAATATATTATTATTATTATTGACTATAGTCACCCTATTGTGGTATCAAATAGGTCTTATTCATTCTTTCTAAATTTTTTGCACACATTAATCATTCTCATCTTCCCCCAGCGCCCCCACCACTACACTTCCCAGCCTCTCGTAACCATCCTTCTATTCTCTATGTCCATAAGTTCAATTGATTTGATTTTTAGATTCCACAAATAAGTGAGAACATGTGATGTTTGTCTTTCTGTGCCTGGCTTATTTCACTTAACATAATGATCTTCAGGTCTTTCCATGTTGTTGCAAATGACTGGATCTCATTCTTTTTTACGGCTGAGTAGGAAAAAATCTAATAACCCAATCAAAAAAGGCAAAAGATTTGTATAGACATTTCTCAAAAGAAGACATCCCCCCAATTTTCCAAATCTTAGGACCCACAAAATCTGGATCATCTCTGCAAGCGTTATAAGAGTTAATTCTCCTCTATGATTTTAAACTGATTTAAGATGTGAGAAAGAAAAGTGACTTGGAGCAGTCTGAAGAATGTGAGGTCTGCAAAATTTATCAGGCCCAGAGAAACAGGAGCTTGAGGATTCAGTCACATCCTTTGCAACCATGCCCAGGGGTAATTGCTGAAAGGTATTTTGTTTTTACTTTCTTTCCTGTAGTTTCCAGACTAGCTGATAAATTTCTTCAAATGTTACTACAAGTTACACAATGTGACCCTCAACCACTATCTTCAAGTTCCTGAAATTTATAATATAAGAAACAATATATAGCCAATCAATAGCTGATGTTATTTTAATGAACCAACATAAACTTCTGGTAAACAGCTTAGAAACTATCCCCTAACTTCTTTTTTTCTCTTTAAAAACCCACTTGTAACTGCTGCTAATTGGTGCATATATTCAGGGCAATTTGAATTGGTGACTCCTGAGCTGCAGTTCTAAACCTGGGCCCAAATAAACTCTCTACTTATATTAATTTTGCCTTAGTTTCTTCCTATAGGTTGACAAATGCATTACTTTTGGTGGTTGCTTAAAGTATTGTAGCTTTATCCATTTAAGTGAAAGAATTATATTTGTTAAGAAATAGAAATATATGGTCATGGAGTAAAAAAATTATTGGAGTTGATGAGATGTTTCTTTACTACCACATGGTGGCAGTATCCCTAAAATCCTGAGTGTAAATAAATGTTTTCCCTTGCTTCAAGTGCAAAAACAATGTTTACAAAAGGGAGTGGGGGAGGGGAGCTCTTGAACATATAAAATTGTATTTTGTTTGGCTTGTTTATATTGTGACAGTCCTTTATTAAATCAGCCATGAATTTGATGGAATAAAATACCGTTTTGTTTTTTCACTTTTCAGATAATACATATGGTCTTTTAATTCTGTATCTGGATGTCTTTAATAGTAATTAAAATAAAATCTTAGGCAATGAGAAATACTATGTTTCATATGCTCATCGCTTCTCACACTTGAGGGAGATGTGGGCAGGAGCAGCGATGTCCTATGTTTCTAGGGCTCTGCATATTCCTCAGTGCTTCATACTTTTAAAGAAAACATTAAAAAATACCAAACATTATCATTAATTGGATTATTGCTGAGATCATAAGGGATTCTTTATCTATTGAAAGAGCTGGGATTGTGTTATTACTTAGATAGATTTAAGATATGCTAATTGTCCTCATTATAATAAAATTTGGGAGTAAAAAGAAATCGTTGCAGGCTTTTGTCAGTGTGCTGATGATCTGTCTCCTGTTTTGTAGCCAACTGGACACGGTTGTGGAGATTTTACATAGGTTCACTAGATTTTCTTGAGTAGAAAAGAAACCCACAGTCTCTCTGTGTACTAAACAGACCGTTGGCAATATCTAAACAGCTGTTGGCTGTATGATACATATTTGGCTAAAAACAAACCCATCTGTATTTAATGCATTATTGCCAAAGTGTACTAACATGCTGTTTCCAGTCTGAAAACACTGGTACCCTCATGTGAGACGATCAAATTGAAAATCTCGCAACATGGCTCTTGCACTTCTTGGCTATGCAAACAGAAATCCTAGGAGTGTGCCAGCGGATGGCAGAACCTGTTTCCAGAGGTTTCAGTTGGGAGGTGAAGGGGAAGGCAGTGGATAGACACAGACTAGATCACCCTTTCCCTTGATAAATTCTTTAATTATTTTATCCTGCCTTTCAAAATAATTCCTTAGTATCTATTACCTCTTATGTACTTTTGTATAATCTTTATTTTTGCTGATTAAAAAATTATATTTAATATGAGAAAAATTAGAAAATACAAAGAAAAATGGAATAAAAAGGTCACCCTTTATTCTACCACACAGTTTACATAGATATGCCACTTCTGAGTAAAGTTATTAATTAATGACCCAGGTAATTAACATGAATCAATCAATCCATTTACTAGGATCACTGGGCCTGCATAACAAGTGACAAAATAGACTAAGAGAGGTCAGACAACTTGCTGAATTTGCTTATCTCTTAAGTGCTTAATCAAGGATTCGAACCCAGATTTGTCTTTCTTAGAGCTGGGGCTTTAGCCACCACAGCACATCACTTCACATTAAGAAAATAATACCATTCACAAAATATGTCCCCAGAGGTCAATGGGATATAGACAACTGTTTTTATGATAATTTAAGATGCAGTTGAGACTTTGAAAGCTAGATTATATAATAATTACAACTGTAAACAACAGCTTAGTTTGTCCATGAGTGAAATAATCACAAATGTGCTAAAATGTGTCTATAAACAGTGAGATATGGGATTTCCTAGTATTTATCATTTAAATAAAACATGTGTTAGCTAATGAATTTTTTAAGTTAATTAGTGTAATGGAATTTTCCTCTAAATACTAGCACTTATTTTATTTGACAAAACACTGAACAATTTGGGAAGATTCTTGTAGTTTTTCATGATTTGAATAATGCATAGCTTTTGCTCATTATAGGCAAATGTTCAAATCAACCTCAAAGAACGCTTCACCTGGAAAGCTCTAACTAAATGAGCATTTTTCTCTGCCTACCACTAGCACCAGCTCCCGTAGTAAATAGTCAACAGCTGGAGTGGTAACAGGGAAATCTCAGTGCAACTAATGAGATCCCCATATTTCACAGCTCAGAGGCTGTAAAATATCTTTTTTTAAGAAAAAAGGGTAATTACAAAAATCTCACTTCTTTGTTTGAGTGTAAACCGAAAGAACTGTTACTTTTAAAGGAATGAACTCTCTGTACTAATAATCAAATTCATAAAACTATACAATGTAAATGAGGATAATTTATAAAGTGATTGGTTTTGCAATACACAATGTCACAATCCCATCCAAACAACTAAGATGTGTCTGGAGTATAATTAAATCTAACAATAAATATTTTTAAAACATTATTTTTCCCTACTTCTCAAGTGAAATAAAGAAGTGCTGGCAACATTATGGAAATGTTCAACTAAATGCTGCAACGCTTCATGATACGGAGAATATATTAGTCCCAATACACTACAACATCCTTGAATATACATTTTTAAGCATGTTGACAAAATGCCACTTCCCCAGGAATCCATTTTAAATAATTCAAATTAACTCTGAAAAAATGTTTGCTGAGGCTTTTGTTTGATTCAAGTTTCTCTTCTGCCCCCAGCCTGTGTTTGGTTTTGCTAAAAAATATTTAGAATAAATAGAGCAAGCACCTCTCTGATATACCACTACTAAAATTCCTAAAATTCTAGAACAATTAGAGTTGGGGCCAAACACAAAGTCATAATATTCCTATATTAGAGAAGAATTTCAGTATTCAGGAGAGAAGACAGAAAAAAAAAAAAGAGAGAAATGAAAGAAAGACATGAGTGAACCAGAAAGTCAACAACAGTCAGTGAGTTAGAGAGAATTGAAATGCCACACATCTAGAAAGGTAGGCACAAAGATAAAAAGAAAACAAAAGAGAAGTGTTAATGCTTCAGTGATAGGGAAAGAATGAGGAGAGAATAAGGATGGATTCTAGGAAAGACATCCCTCAAACTCATTTAGTGCTCAAAGCAATCATGTAAAATAATTGTTGACCTTCATGGTGTAGCCTTGTGAAAAGAAGAGGGCGAATGAGTATGATTCGGACTGAGTGCTTATTAATTGCGTGGCCTTGACAATTAATCTCAGAAAGTTTACTTTAAAGGTAAAATGGGAATTTTTGAGCCTTAAACTATATGAGCTGGCATATACAGCAATATCTAACATATTATATGACTTTTAGATTGGTAGATATTTGATTAGTGATAAGTTAGGTTTCACTTTAAAGATTAAACGCTGGGCTTCAAAAAGATTCCAGGGAACTCAGCTTGGAAACAACCCCTTTGTTTGTTTTTAAATGTCTGTAATGCACCTAGCACCATCCTAGCTTATTGTAGGTTCTCAGTAATTGGTTGCTACTTTACACTTCATGGTTTGCCAAGAGCCCTGTCTTTTCTCACCCTGTCTTCTCTCACGCATCATCTGATGAGACCTAAAAAAAGTTGTTATGAAAACATATTCTTTAATACAGCATAAAGAGTTCAATTTGCAAAAACTTAAGGTGGCCCTCTTCACAACTTCTAAATAGTTAAGGGCTTTGTTCCTTTTAAGACCTAAAGCTCTAACTACTTTCCCTCTACCCTGCTTCTTTCATTGCTTCATTCCATCAAACACTGTCTTGTACAACTCCACATTCACTTTCTACAATGCGAAAGGGAAGTACACTTGTCTTCTTTCTGTGCTTGCTCCCTTTCTTAAACAAACAAGAGCTGGTCACACAGAAAAACCCAAAGTAACAAAAGCAAATCCATTTTTGACTCAGATATCCCTTGACTACTATCCTTGTCTCACTCTTTTCAGAATTTCAGAAAAGAACCAAATATTTAGTGACTCCAGGTACTCATCACTCATTACTCACTCTTTCTTAATTTCTCGATAACTGCCCCACTCCTAGTTATTACCCAGAAACTGCTTTTCCCAAGGTTTACAGCAATCATCTCATCAATTATCTTATCACACAGGCAAATAGATTGGTGATGGTTAGATAACTCTGTCAATATACTCAAAACCACCGAACTGTGTACCAATTGTGAATTACATGGTATGTGAATTATATCTCAATAAATCATATACATACATATACATAAATATATATACACATAAGTACATGTGTTTATGTATATGTATGTGTGTATATATTAATAATTTTGTATTTTTATATATTATATTATATAAGCATATATATGAGAGAGATCAAACGGATCTTCAAACAAATGAATTTTCTTATCCATTTCTCCTTGACCTGGCTGCTGTTTTCGGCTTGTCCTTCATCCCTCCCATGTTTGAATCCCTCCTCTCTGGGCTTCTGTTTTGCTGACTCTTCTAGATCTCCTCCTACTAACTCTGATTCTTTCCACCTCATCTCAGTCATTGACTCTTCTTCCTTCTTCTCTCCACTGAACTTGGAGGCTTAAACGATGAGCTGTATATTTTCCCTTTACAGTGTATTTCCTCAGTTACCTGCTTTTTCTTATCACTTCAACTATCATTTCTCTTTTGATTAAATCTAGGTACATACCTGCTACCCTGATCTCACTCCTAACACTGCAACTTGAATCTTTGCTGGCTATCTTTGCCTGGACATCCCTATTCAAAAGTAAGTTTGGCTTCTATGTATCAGGTGCTTATTCTATATTACTTGTCTTTCTTTAAATCATTCAGGGGAAGCTGATTATGAACCAAGATTTGGGAGGGTAGTGGATCTGCTAGCATTGCAGTCCTAGGACTGAAAAGAGGTAGGCTTTTGAGAGTAAACACAATGGCTTAGGCAACAAATGGTATATTAGGTCATATTAGCCATGTTACTCAGCCTATCAAGTTATTTGCTTTTCTCTTTCTCAGCACAGCTCATACTCTCTACTTCCTCACCTCTAATTCACTCCTCAGCTCACTGAAATCTGACTTTCATTCCCATCACTTCCCTGAAACTACTTTGGCAAAGATCATTAAGATGACCTCATTGCATATCCCCTGGACAGTTTACTCCTTGTCTTACCAGAAATTGCTTTCATCACTCAAACTCCTTTTAGAAATACGATGTTCCTTTGCTTTCCATGAAGCAAACACACTGGGTTCTTGTCCCACCCTTTATCTTGCCTCACTTTTCTTCACTGGTTCCTCTTCTATCTCCACTTTAAAACTGGCAGTGAGCATTTATCTAGGGTTTTTCTTTGAACTTCCCTTTAATCTGCATGATTTCTAGTGGGCAGCCTATCTTTAACTTCCATTTACATGCAGGGGAATGTCTTTTCTATCTTGAGCACCGATCCCCTCTTGAGCGCAGACCACTGAATTCAACCACCAGCTAGACATAGTCACCTGAGCAACTCAAAACCCAGTGTCCCTAACTGAGCTCTTTATCTGCACCCATTTCCAGCCAACGTTCTCTTCCTCCTGTTGTCCAGTAATATTTGTCAAATAAATAAAAGAGGAAAACAAAGGGGGAACATAGGAAGATGAGAAGGCAGAAAGGTAGAAACTGTGTATTTAGAGAGTAAAATATTCACATCCATTAAACTATTATACAATACTTACTGATGGTCATGAAAAACTGTGATTTAAGAAAATGGTTTAATTCTTATTTAAGGAAAACTCCCTCCCGTCCCATTGACTTTCCCTATCAAGTGCCCCCTTAAATTCGTTATACTTTAAAGAATGTCATTGTAACCTCTCTGTCTAATCCACCCTAATCAGGGATCCAACTGCACAGTCTAGTCCTCGAGAATAACTAAGACATCTTCAGAGATTTCAGGCTTGTTTTTGACAGAAAGACCACAAAGATTCAGAGTCAGCCACACTAGTATTTATTTTATATATTAAACACATCCAGAGCACTAACCATGTAGGTGGTATTTTCTAAGCTTTCCACATGCATCAAATCATGGGATTTTATAATCTACAACTCTATGATGTAGATGCTTTTTTTTTTTTTTTTTTTTTGAGACGGAGTCTCGCTCTGTTGCCGAGGTTGGAGTGCAGTGGCGCGATCTCGGCTCACTGCAAGCTCCGCCTCCCAGGTTCACACCATTCTCCTGCCTCAGCCTCCCCAGTAGCTGGGACTACAGGCACCCGCCACCACGCCCAGCTAATTTTTTGTATTTTTTTTTTTTTTTTTTTTTTTAGTAGAGATGGGGTTTCACCATGTTAGCCAGGATGGTCTGGATCTCCTGGTCTCGTGATCCACCTGCCTCGGCCTCCCAAAGTGCTGGGATTACAGATGTGAGCCACTGCACCTGGCCAGATGCTATATCTTTATCCCCTTTTCTTTATACCCCACAGCTGGGGTAACTGAGGCACAAGGAAGCTACAAAAATTCATGCCCAAAGTCACGTATATAAAGAAGATGTCTGAGACTAAATTTAAACTCAGGCAGTCTGGTTCCAGAACCTATGCCTATAACTACTAGATTGCTCTGTTTCTCTGTTTCCAAGGTGGGTGAATAAGTGAACGAACATTTAGTGTGATTTCATGGGTACTAGGAAGGCTCAATTTCCTTGAATAGGCCCTCCTATCATCTATTTGCTGATGCCTAAAATTTCAGGTCAGAGCCTAACTCCTTTAGTGAAACAGAGTGATCTCTATTCAAATGCAAATTAAACTTTATCTGTCCTTTATACGTTAGTACAAACTGATTTATCAAGACATTTCGTGACAGCAGATTTTGATCATGGGAATGTCCAAGGGGACACTAAAACGACTCAGATTATAAAATAAAGTAGGATTCTTAGCGGAGGAAAAAGGGTAGGGGGAAAGGATATTGAGGTTGTGACTGACTACTTAGGCTTGCCTAAATTGGCTATGTATGTTTAGGGGACATTTCTGTGTGTGTGTTTGTTTGGGGAAGGAGTGTAGGTACAGACACTTCTTTTGTTTTTTTGGTGTACTGGGGGTTTCAATATTTTCATTCGAGTAGGAAGATCAAAATAGACCTAAATTTGCTATAGAACAGAAAAAGTACAGAGGTTCCAACCTATGGAATATAACCTTTAGAGGAATTGTGGAATTATTACAAGTTAATACATTTTTTTTAGAGACAAGGTCTCACACTGTCGTCCAGGCTGGAGTACAGTGTTACAATCATAGCTCACTGTAACCTCTGACTCCTAGGCTCAAGTGATCCTCCCACCTCAGCCTCCTGAATAGGTAGGACTACAGGTGTGCACCACCATGACCGACTAATTGTTTTTATTTTTTGCAGAGACAGGGTGTTGCTATGTTGCCGACGCTGAACTCCAGCTCCTGGTCTCAAGTGATCCTCCTGCCTTAGCCCCGCAAAGTGCTGGGATTACAGGCATGAGTCACTGTGCTTGGCCACAAGGTAATCCTTGAATTTATATGTTCCCCAAGCACTGCTTTTAGAGTAAATCAATAATAATCCCACTCATATGTATATTATTGTTTTTCAAAATTTATAGGTTCTAAATTATAAACATCCTTAAATTATATTATAAAGTTAATTTATAAATTATATAATAAAAATAAATTTATAACTTAGAATCTCCAAATTTTGAAAAACTGTAATACACATATTAGAGGGGCTTACTATTTATTCATTCCAAAAGCATGGTAGTTTTGCCATTATAAATGTTCTCAATTAATTTAGAGCAGGAATGAGTAAAGAGTCTCTATTTTTCTAACTTCATTTTTGAATTTTAAACCAATAGCCCAGGGAAGAAATTTGGAATCAGGTTGAATAAGTTGGGTATTCTTCTATGTGCTTTATTTATATATGTAAATTATGGTGCTGAACTCAAGATAACATCTTTTCATTGACATCAGTTTTGGAGTGAATAGTTAGAAATTGTGTTGAGGCACAAAAAGGAATGTATCTCTGGCTTAGCACCCTGAATAGTGCACAGACAGGCAAATAGATGTATGTGTGCCTGTTGTGCTTTATTGCTACATGGAGCAACACAACATTTTCTTGCTTTCTTTTACCTTTGCCTCTTTAACGCAGCAATTAAAACACTTGTAACACATAACAAATCAAGCTATAGCTTTCTAACAATTATCATATCTAGATACAGTAACAGGATCGGTGAAGACATGTTCATTGAAATACCCATTGGGCCACAGTCATCAGCTGCATTTGAGATCAAATCAGGCTATTAAACCACAGGCCACAGCGTCTGTGATTTGCATGAGTAATTAGAAATGATTAATATAATGCCTTGCTTAATTAAACTTATCTCATAAGGGCACCTCTTGAAAACTCATAAGCTTGACAATGCATAATCACTCTAGATATGTTGGGCATATGATTTTTTGACTCCAATGAAGAATTTTTTGACTATTCTTCATGATTATTTTAAATAGACATGATTTAGTGGTACAAACAACCTGTGTATTGGATATCCTGGGAATTTAAAAATGCTATAGAACAGTGTAGAAAAAACACAAAGTTATGGTGTTTCAGGGAACACTCTAGCTGAGTGAGAAGAGAATGTAGATTGTTTTATTCAGCCTAGCCACTAAGTGACATGCCTAGTTCTTTAATACAAGCGTAGCAACATTTAAGAAAAATTTTCAGTCAAACGTTTGCTTAGTTTTTAGTTCAACAGTTAAGATGAAGAATAAGATGAAACCTTTTAAGTGCCTTCAAGGTACCAAGCCATAGAGTAAATGTTGCCATAAATACAAAATGAAGAATGAAGACTAATTTTGTTTGTTTTTGAAGACTAATGTTGAATTTAAATGGTATAAAGTAGAATGGGATAAATTTTTTTTTACAAAACAAATACTGTTCATATGCCAAATTACTTAGCTATAATTTTTAAAGTCAGGGAAGATGAGTTTATAGCAAAAGCTAAAGAAAGAGTACAAATACCTACAGACTCACTTGTTAATTCCCTACTTCTTGTCAGAATGAATTTCTCAGGGTGACCCAATAAGTAGATATTTTTGAGGGTCCCACAAATTTTTAAAATATAAATACATACTTAATTTTCAATGTTTAACACATAAATTTTAAGTTTAAAAATAACAATTAAAAATACTTCCCAAAAAGCATTTTTAACAAATGCTTCTTCTTGGATTCTACTAATAGGATGAGGAAAGTTGACTTAAAGAATTGGAAAGATGAATATTGGGAACCATGAGAGTCTTCTGCAATAGGCAATAATGACATTATTGCCCATGAAATTGTTTGCTTATGTGTTTAGTACAATGCTGATTGCATACTCTGTTCTAGGTATATTACTCAGTACTTGTCTAATAATCTGAGTGCTAGAATACTTGATTTCAGCAAACAATAAAGCATTGTTCCAGCATGTGGCAATTTATAGTTCAAGAGTCACTTTAAGACAGCCAAATGTGTCATTAAGAGGCGGAGTTCCACTGTTTAGCAAAAATAAACACATGTCATATGTAAGGTAGCAGCTTTTACTGCTATTTCAGAAGGGTGTGCTATTGCAAAGATTATTTTTACACAAAGAATATAGAATATAACAGTCATAAAACAAATCGTTTGATAACAGTGAGATATTTCTTTAGATTTAGGGTTCATATTGTCAGTTGAATCAACTAATGTGCTGAACTGTCATTGAAATAGGTAATGAGGTGTGTTTTCAAGAGGAGATGCCTATGTTGGGTTTAATTCATCCATTTTTTGTGGTGCCAAGTTTTAGTTCTGAGCCTTCCTTTTCTCTTTTACCTACTCAAATATGATTTTGATTGATATTGCACTTGAACTCCATATAAATAAGCAAGTATATCTTAAACCACTTTATGTGAAAATGTATAAGCACAAAGCTCCTAATCACAAAAAGTTTTTAAATTATATTTGAGAGGATAAAACATAGAAAGATCAGAAGAAGGAGGCAGACGTAATAATTATTGCAAGAGAAGACATATAGTCTAAAAATTGTGATGTTTTAGTGTGTTTTGGTGCAGGGTATATACTCTAGCCTTGCCATAAATACTAATCTTTGTCCATGTATATACAAGAAATGTGCATTTCTAAACTTAACAGGATTGCTATAGATCATGAAAGAGCTCACAAAACTACCAAAGCCTCTGAACGTGGCTCTTTAGTTAAAAGCCCTGAACGACTGGGTCCTTCTCAGTTTTGGAACTTTTACTGTGCTACTACAGAATAGGGACTCAGTACACTTGTCCAGGGGAGTTGAAATAAGTGGAATATAGTTGAATGATCTGGTGTTTAGAACTAGCTATTACTGAACTCAGCATGTGCATCCTGTTGATGCTGCACATGCTCACTGATGTAGTAAAAAAGAAAAATGAATCGTTGGGTTTAAATGTCGAGGATCTTACCACGGAAAGGTAGAAGGTTTGTGTACAGGAAGAAGGATATGGAAGGCCATTCCAAAGACTCCTGATAAGTAATTTATTATGTGCAAGAGAGCACTAATCTAGACCACAGCAAGTAGTAAATGGAAAGAGCATCAACCTGTGTTATGGTCTTGGGTTTGCCATTAATTAGTGGTGTGATCTTGGATAAACTCCTTAATCCCTGTGAACCCAACATCCTTATATATAAAGTAAAATGAAGCAGAGATTGAACTAGATAATTTCTTTTGTTTTATTTTCTTCTTTCTTCTGTTCCTTTTTTTTTTTTTGACGGTGTTTCAATCGATCTGTTGCCCAGGCTGGAGTGCACTGGCACAATATCGGCTCACTGTAACCTCTGCCTTGTGGGCTCAAGCGATTCTCATGCCTCAGCCTCCTGAGTATCTAGGATTACAGGCATGTGCCACCACACCCAGCTATTTTTTGTATTTTTAGTAGAGATGGCATTTTGCCATGTTGGCCAGGCTCGTCTCGAACTCCTGGCCTCAAATGATCTGCCCTTCTCAGCCTCCCAAAGTGCTGAGATTACAGTTGTGAGCCACTGCACTTGGCTAAACTAGATCATTTCTAAGATTTCTTACCTGTCCCAGATTCTATGATCGCAATTTCCAAAATATGTTGTGAAAGAACTTAATAAACATTCTGTGAGAATGTATTCTATGATAAAAAATAAAGTCCACTAAACACTTGGATAATTTTTTAAATGATACAATTTTTGGTAACTTTAGTATACTAATGTTCATTTCATGACTATCCAGTAGAATCTCATCAAGCTTATTTGACTATGAAATGGATCCTTTTTATGTAAAACCTATTGTCAACTAAAGACATGGTCATATTCCACAGACTAGAGTTTGGGCAAAGCACATTTATGATTTTGAAAATTCTTTAGTAGCCCTTAGCCAGAACTCATCACATCAACTAATATTCCAGCGAATTTCAAACATCCTTATTGGGTACCTCCTATGTAAAAAACTTCCAAATATTATCTTGCCGAATCATCACAACAGATTGGTGGTGTTAATCTCATATTACAGGTAAAGACATTGAACTCTGAGAGTTCAATGGTTGGCCTAATGTCACAAAGCAGGGAGTGTAGTTGAAATTGTAACCCAGTATTCTGAGTCTACTGGGATTTCTACCCTGCCTCACATCCTTTCACAACCACCAAAGCCACCCTTTAACCTTTTTACCTCAGATTACCTCAGCAGGGTAATCTGAGGTGGGTTTCTCTGCATGCGGTGCCAGGCAAAGGGAGCAGTGCCCATGGGCCACTCAGAAGAGGATAATACCTACCATTCATGAATACTACAATAGAGGCCACAGCCCTGTCATATTTAATGGTTCCAACACTCAGGGTGACACCTGGTGGAAACATCTTCCTGTAATTACTTCTGTGATTTGGTACACATCATATTCTAATAAAGAAAAAAATAAATATATTTCCATGACTTTGAGAAATATGTTCTATAAGGAGGAATTTCCAAACTTTAATTAACTAGCTTATTTTAAAGATAGAGCCTTGCTCTGTTGCCTGGGCTGGAGTGCAGTGGCAAGATCATGGCAGACTGTAATCTCGGCCTTCTGGGCTCAAAAGATCCTCCTGCCTCAGCCTTTTGAGTAGCTGGGACTACAGCTGTGTACCACCACGATTGGCTGTAAAGAAGAATTTTTATGACATTTATTTGTTTTAAATTTTTAAAATGTCTTTCTCAATCATTTGCTTTCCATGAATTTATAGTCCCAGAGCAAGCTGACTTGTCTACCTTCACAACTGTTTCTACAGAAGGATTTCATTCTTATTTTAGAGGGAGGGCATTGATGCATTGTGAAATTAGCGACTAGATATACCTCAGCAACTCAGTGTTTGCTTAGGATTCAAAGGCAGGCACCACTATTCTCTTGTTTCTTAGCCTATGACATGCCACTCTCAAACTTGGCTGTTCTCGCTGGCTTCTGGGTAGAGAGTCAGACGAACTTCAGTGAGCATAAGTTTTCTAACAGATTAAAAAGAATTAGACAAAAACAGGACAGAAAAAAGCAAAAAATAATCAGCTATGGCTAGGTAAAACTTTCTGACAAATTTACAGGGGATTTGCCCTGAACCAAATGTCTACTGAATTTATTTGTAGTTATCAAGAAGTTCAATCAAGAGATGAGGGAATTCCAATACTGATTTTTCCCAAACTGATGTTCTACTCCCAAGCACATAATTTTGAAAGAAGGCTCTGAAGTAATAGCTTATTTAGTGTCTTTTCGAAATAAGAAATCAATACATCCTCAAATTTTCCAAAAAAACAATAGTCCCAAGGCCAACAGTTGACCAGAATGAATGTCATCACCAAACGATTGATCTTAATAAGCTGCACCATATTTTCCACCTGAATAGTGTATTCTTTTGTTTCTGTTTTTTGTTTGTTTTTTGAGACGGAGTCTTGCTCTGTCACCCAGGCTGGAGTGCAGTGGTGTGATCTTGGCTCACTGCAATCTCCACCTCCTGGGTTCATGCCATTCTTCTGCCTCAGACTCCCGAGTAGCTGGGACCACAGGCACCTGCCACCACACCTGGCTAATTTTTTTTGTATTGTTAGTAGAGACGGGGTTTCACCGTGTTAGCCAGGATGGTCTCGATTTCCTGACCTGGTGATCCGCCCGCCCAAACCTTCCAAAGTTGAATCAGTGTATTCTTTTTCCCATAGTCACATAACAAGAACATGACGGAGGTGATTAGGGAAGGAATAAAATGACTAAAGAGGATTCTGGCACTGTTCCATGCCTCACTTTCCCCATTTCTAAACGAGAGTGAGTTATTCTTATTCTTTAATTAGTGGCAATCTAAATAAACAAACTCCTCCCACACACTACAATTAAATAGGATCTACTCCAGGTAAAGAAGTTCTTAAAGAAGTTTGTGTTTTTTTCTTATCTCTGAATTTTCTAGAACTGATCCTACTGAAAAATGCAGTGAAAGAATAGCCAACCCTAGCAAAAACACCAAATGACCCTACAGGATCACTGACTACAAAGTCTGGGGAAACACTGAGGAGTGGTTCTGACCTTGATCAGATTTACTCAAGAGCACGTCTTACAGTTAATAGAGAGATGGACTCAAATCCAAAGCCCAGAGGTTTACCTTGGACTCTGACACAGTAGCTATGTGGCTTGGGTAACTAACTTCGGTTTTCTAAGCTTGACTCCTCATCTGGGGTCTTGGCTTTTGCCTTGTCTGCTTCACAGGGTGGCAAAGATGATCAAATAAAATAATATATGAGAACATGTAGGAAAATATGAAATGCTATAGAAATAGACATATGGAGCGCCCAGTCTGTAGACTATTTGGCCCCATGTCTATCTCTGTTAAATTACCTACTCCATGGGAACATCTGAGACTCTTTTATTTATAGAAAGACTGAATAGAATAATACTTATGCCAGGCCCAGTGACCTGCTGGACATGTGTATGCCTGTGAAAGATGATTTTAATTGTTTCTGTGAGATACTTTCATAGCTTCCTCAGCAGAGTTACCAGACGTGTGTGTGTGTGTGTCTGTGTGTGTGTGTGTGTGTGTGTGTGTGTTTAGAGATGGGGTCTCCTTCTGTTATTCAGGCTGGAGTGCAGTGGTGCAATCATAGCTTGCTGAAATCTAGAACTCCTGGGCTCAAGTGATCCTCCTGCCTCAGCCTCCCGAAGAGCTGAGACTACAGGCAAGCTGTACTATGTTCAGCTAATTTTTGTATTTTTTTGTAGAGATGGGGCTCTCACTATGTTGCCCAGGCTGGTCTGGAACTTCTCAGCTCAAGTGATCTTTTCATCTTGGCCTCCCAAATTTCTGGGATTATAGGCATGGGCCACCATGCCCTGCTCCAGATTCTATTGTTATAAAACAGCACTATGGTATGCTCTACTCTGTAGCTGTCATCTTCCATCGTTAGAGTATTGTGAGATCAACACAATCACTCATATGGTAAAGACATGGAAGAAACTGAAGTGAGAAATAGGGAGACTTAGGAGCAGATTTGTCACTGAAATTGTGGTAGGATGCTAATAGATAAAACGTAAAGTCATGTAACACATTATCTGGTCATTAGGGAACAGAACATGATTTCTATGGGAATAAAAACTTAAGCACTATGCACCATATCCTTACATACCCTAATAAACCCCAGCTGCCACATGTCCCCTTCAACATGAGGATGGACTCAAACGGTACCTAAAAGCCATTGAAGAGACATTTTAATAATCATTAAAATAGTTCAGGTGGTGCCAGGAGAACCCAAAAGTCCTCCACAAAATTCTTTTCGGAATAGGAGGTCCTATCTAGCTTCCCAAAGTCCTCCAAGTAGTTTCTCAAAATGTTCAAGAAGGAAACTCAGGTCCTAGAAATTCATGAAAAAAGATGATTTTTAATTATCTCTGGTCATACACCTTCCACTATACCCCAAACTCCACTCCTGACTGATCAGGTTTACTGATTCATTTCTCTCATCCTGATACTCCTGTCCCTCTTCTAGAGCACTTCAAGCTCTAATTTTAAAACCCATCTAGCCTTTCTGACCTCTTTTTAATTCTGAGGCTCAGCCCATTTCCTCAAATAGGCAACAAAACAAAATTCACACACTGTAGGTTGATACCTCAGCAAGGAAGTTTCTTTCCACTGTAGAAAGTTGGCAGATGGAGAGGAGTGGATGTTGCAAATATATTCATATTATTCAATTTACAGATACCTATGGGCAGATGAATAGATAGACCTGTACTAAAATATATCCACATTTATAGGCTTACAGAATTAAAATACAGTGAACACTAATAGGTTTACAAGATAATGGGTTTATTCCAGAGATGAAAAATACTGAGGCCAGAGAAGTACCTGGAGATTCACAGAGCTCAATAAAGATAGAACAGGGACAGATGTCCTATGATCCTTGCTTTCCAAAACATCGATTCTTCCTCCAGGCATGAGTAATAAGTAGATGACTAAAATAAGCACATGCATGCAGGTATTCATTCACAAGTTATAAGACATTTTGGAGTGTTTAAATTTTAGTTATAAGAAGCTTTGTATGGCTGGAATAATTCATACTAAAGACAGTTCATTCTGCTGTATACTCTAGAGACCACTTCTATCCTTTTTTTGGCTCCATCTTTGTAAGATCACAACTTCTATAAACTATGATACCCACACTGGCACATATAATTTAAAATAATACACACAAATAATATAATTTTGATTCTATGATTAAAAAACATTTTCTCTTCAAGTGATTTTTAATAACACTTTATACAGTTATGCTTTTACTTTTCTCCTTATTTTATTCTGCAACTGAAGTTCTGACTTCTCATTAATTGGGTCAGTAAGCAATCACTAACGCAAATAAACAAAAACCCTCATTTAAAAATCTTCTTTCTTCATGAATTTTTAGAACCTAAGTTTCTTTTAATCTCAGCAGTACATAATAGCATGTCTCTAGAACGTACTTTCCTGCCCTCTGACTAAAAGTGACATCAACTTTCTCCCTGGGTCATGGTCTCTACTCAGGCTCATTCCAATTAGTCAGCAGCACAGTCCTTAGATGCTCTGCCTCAGTGATTTCTGGGAAGCAGGACAGAAAACAGCCGGGGTCTTATGCAAACTGGAGCAAGACACTGAATTATTATTTAGTAGTAATTTCTCCCTCTTTTTACCTTACTCTATCTCCAGCTGCCAAGAGCCCATTTAGCATTCTTACTGGATAAGATAATTGGGAACTAGTTTTCCTCCAAAATATGCTGATCAGTCACAGTCACAAGGAGGAGGGTATGTTCCCAGACCAAAGAAGAGGGTTTTAAAATAATTTATCTGGCAACACTCTGAGAGAGTAATATGTTGGTTTTCAGAGACCTATAGGGCTAAGAAGATGTAACTGGGAACCAGAAGGGGGAAAAGAAGGAACTTGATTTTTTAGAAACTTGTGGGTGGCTCAAACTAGTGTTGTTCAGGAGGTGTTCAACAATTGCTTGAGGAATGAAGTAATGCTATCTGAAGCTTATAAAGTAGAGGAGCAAAAAAATGGCAGGGATTGATGTTTCTGGGCCTAGAATGGAGCCAGCTGTCCTGATGGGATCTCAAGAGGAAGAGCTGAAGGCTGTCTAACTACTTAGTGATAACTCAGAACCCATGTTTGTTTGTTTGTTTGTTGTTTGTTTTTTTGAGACACAGTTTCACTCTGTCCCCAAGCTAGAGTGAAGTGGCAAGATCTCGGCTCACTGCAACCTCCACCTCCCAGGTTCAAACGATTCTCTTGCCTCAGTCTCCCAAACAGCTGGGATTACAAGTGTCTGCCTCCACACCTGGCCAATTTTTGTATTATTAGTAGAGACGGGGTTTCACCAGGTTGGCCAGGCTGGTCTCAAATTCCTGATCTCAAGTGATCCGCCCACTTCAGCCTCCCAGTGTGCTGGGATTACAGGCGCAAGCCATCGTGCCCATCCTCATGTTTTTTTCCCTGAAACCACATAGCTGCCAAGGCACTTCTAATTCAACAACTTTGTTCACCTGGTTCATGGAATTCAGGAAGAACAATATATTTGATATTACCACCTTGATTTAATGCTTGGCAAACATTGAGAAGAGGGAAACCAGAGCTCCTGTCCAGAGCTTCTCTCATGGCTCAACATCTAACCATCTGGATAAGCCACTTCATCCGTTTAGGCCTTCATTTCCCGATCTATGAGAGGAGTGAGTTGGATTAAATTGATGAGTGGAATCCTTAGGCCTTAAAATTCTGTTCTGCGTCTGTTATGGGAAGTTTAGTAAAGAGCAGGGGTGCCAGAGACTGTGCTAAACTTTTTCAAAGGCTTCATATCCCTTAATCCTTATTTCATCCCTATACATTACGTATTATTGCCACCCCTCCTTTTAAAATAGGAGACCCAAGGCATAATGGTTTAGAACATGTTCAAGGTCACACAGTTAGTAAATGTTAAAGCTGGGACTCTAACTCTGAGCATATTTATTGTTGCAAGTTTTATAGGCAGATTAATGGGAAGCAGCCCCAGTCTTATCCTGAAAACAACAATAAAAGGATGATCACTTTAGATTGCATCCTGGTGCTTAAAATAGAACTGTGACATGAATTGTCATGAAGTGATTATTTTCTCCCTTGTGCCAGATTTAAATAAGTGGGAAGTGCAGTCAAAACCTGAGAAAAATCTCCGTAGGGTTTTGAAATCATCATTGGGCATATAATATGATGGCACTAAACTCCATTAACCCCTACTCTTGCTTCAATCAACAAAACTTTATTGAGACATCAAATGTGCACTGAATGTTAAATGGAGACCTGTAGTCAGCTTATCTTAAAATCCTTGTATATGTGCAGGGAACAAGACAGACAGTTTGTGTCCATGAAAATAAAAATAGGTAAGGAAGAATTTTAACATGCTTGAACTGAGACAGTTTAAAAGTATATATCCTCTTGTAACTATCTAGAATATATATCTATCCACTTTTAAGATGCAAAAATGACTAGATGTTGGTTAAGAAATGTGAGGGTCAGTAAATGCATTTTTTTTTTCATGTACTAAACCTGAGGAAACTAATCCCAGGTTGTCCAAGAGGAAGATGTAATTTGGGCCCTATAATCACTAGTCATTTTCCTGCACATAAACATACACAGAGTACAAATTTTAACTAAATTTTGTTTGTTATGGCTATCTAATTTTACTCAACGCATACTGATAGTTATTGCAGCTCTATGTACATTAAAACATACACACACAGAGAGATGTATATTTCTATCATCTGTCCACCTACCAAATGGATTTTCTACAGCAATAAAGTGACTGTAAACTAGATGCATTGACGCAGCCCTTCACGTCTTATAATTAGGAAACATTATTTGAACCTCAAACTCTCAAGAAGTTCCAAAGGCTTCCCCTTTGAGTAGGAAAGCATTAGCAATGTTGGGAGAAATGTCTGAGGAAATGTAGCCGAGCTATATATTCTCTGCAGGGACTTTGGGGTCTCTTCCAACAGTAAAACTCAGTGTCCTTTCCATTTTTTGATAAACAGCAAGAATATTATATCTATTTAATCTCTGACTTCCTTTTGAGAGTAGAAACTACGGCTGTCTTGAACCTGAGCTTCCCAATGACGAAAATATGACTCCGTATGGACTTAGGGAATGAAAAAAGATAGAGATTTTATAGACACAGGATAGTTCAGGTTGTCACATTGCTTTGAGGAGTTATACCCGTTACTCAGCCTTGTTAAAAATCTGAAAGAGACTCAGGCCATGTCAGAGGCAATCACTTCCAGGGGACTTGTTTTGTGTCCTTGGCTGTGGTAGTCATATTTGTTCAGCTTGTTCAGCTTTTTTCTTCATTTTTCACCCCTTAGTATCCTATATGCCTTGATTGTGGCAAAGTTTCTTATAACAACTTAGTATTGAGGTTTCTTATTTGAAAGTGCTGATGAATTGATCCTTTTTCTTTCTTTCTTTCTTTTTTTTTTTTTTTTTGAGACGGAGTCTCGCTCTGTCGCCCAGGCTGGAGTGCAGTGGCGCGATCTCGGCTCACTGCAAGCTCCGCCTCCCGGGTTCAGGCCATTCTCCTGCCTCAGCCTCCCGAGTAGCTGGGACTACAGGCGCCCGCTACCACGCCCGGCTAATTTTTTGTATTTTTAGTAGAGACGGGGTTTCACCGTGTTAGCCAGGATGGTCTCGATCTCCTGACCTCGTGATCCGCCCGCCTCGGCTTCCCAAAGTGCTGGGATTACAGGCGTGAGCCACCACGCCCGGCCGATCCTTTTTCAAATATATATTTTATGACCAGATGGATGAGCAGCAGCTGTATGTAAAGGATGATGTTTAGTACAATCGATGGCTCTAGTCCCTCTAACACATATCCACCAAGGCGGAGGAGGGTATTTTCATGATTTTTAAAATTAATTATCAGCCATCTGGCCATTGTAATAATGTTCTTTTACTGATGGGTAGACCCACATATAGATGAGTAAATGTTATAAAATAAGTCATTTTTATTTATTTTTCACTTAAATTAGTTTATTCATTTTAGAAACAGAGTGTGGCTCTCTGTGCTGCCCTGGCTTCAGTGCAGTGGTGTGATCATAGCTCACTGGAGCCTTGAACTCCTGGGCTCATGCCATCCTCCCACCACAGCCTCCCAAGTAACTGGAACTACAGGTGCATGGCACCATGCCCAGCTAATATTTAAATTTTTTGTAGAGACAGGGTCTTGCTTTCTTGCCCAGGCTGTTCTTGAACTCCTGGGCTTAAGTGATCCTCTAACCTTGGCCTCCCAAACTGCTGGGATTATAGGCATGAGCTACTGCACCTGGCCAAATAAGTCATTTTTAGATTCGGGAGGAGGACCTACAATTGAGTGTAAAACGGTTAAATAGCAACACCTCACATATTGCTGAAAGTATATCTTTTATGTTATTGCTTTCATCTTAGACTTTATCAAAGGAATGGCTCTCTTCACCAAAGAGAATGGAATAGGAACCTTCCTTATGCTATTATCAACACAGGTTAAGGAGAGAGCTTTAGAGGCAAGCAAACAGAAAAATAAAATTATTGCTGGTGTTAAAGCAGAGTGTACACTCTAGCTCTCCAGGTAGCAACCCAGTCACACATTGGTCCCACTAATTCCTGATTCCTTGGCAAAGTGACTCATGCTCTTTAAACTCTATTTTCTTTATTTTAAAAAACAAGATAAAAATATTCACCTCTCAGAACTGTTAGGAAGATTGAACAAGAAAATTATGCATAATGCAACAAAATAGCTGATAGTAAGTGCTCAATGAATAAGTTCTCTTGTCACATTTGGGAGTGAAGAAAGCCTATAATTTTGGTAGAATTTTGTGATTGAAAAGACAAGGCCATCTACAAATAATAAAGAGGCTGAATGTCACTCATAATAAAACATGGACAAGAAGTCAGTGGGAAACATTGAAGGTTAGTAGAAATAAGATAATACAAAGTGATGACAAGTGGGTAATCTGTTAAGGATTATCACCAGGATTTTAGTGAGAAGGAAATGAAGATTCATATATCCCCAGAGTAAAAGTTGTGGGTCACGATAGCATAGTGGTTAAGAGTGTAGGCTGAAGGCCAGGTGAGGTGGCTCATGCCTGTAACTCCAGCACTTTGGAGGCTGAGGCGGGCAGATCACCTGAGGTCAGGAGCTCGAAACCAGCCTGACCAACATGGTGAAACCCCATCTCTACTAAAAATACAAAATTAGCCAGGCATGGTGGCAAGCGCCTGCAATCCCAGCTACTCAGGAAGCTGAGGCAGGAGAATCGCTTGGCCCCAGCAGGCAGAGGTTGCAGTGAGCCAAGATCATGCCATTGCACTCCAGCCTGGGCAACAAGAGCGAAACTCTGCCTCAAAAAGGAAAGGAAAGGAAAAGGAAAAGGAAAAGGAAAGAAAAAAGAAAAGAAAAGAAAAGAAAAGAAAAGAAAAGAAAAGGAAAGGAAAGAAAAAAAACATAGAGTGTAGGCTGAGAGCTGGCTTGCCTGGGTTGGAATCCAGGCTCTGCCACGTATTAGCTGTGTGATACTGAACAAATTGTTTCACTTCTCTGTGCCACACTTTAAATTGGAAATAATATTACTGGAAATTCAAAGTGCGGTTTTGGGGTTTACAAGAGCTGATGGATGTAAAGTGCTTAGAAGAATGCCTAGGACAGAGTACGCACTATTCCACAGGCTTAGCTTCTGTGTGTCTGTGTCTATGTATGTGTTTCTGTGTATGCACAAGCTGGTATAAAAAATTACATATAGTTGTCATTTCACAGTAGGATCCAGTCATTTCTGAATAAATCAATGTGCCTTTTTCACAAAGCCCGTTGGACTTCTGCAGTTATTTTTAAACATGGGGACCTGAGCTGGGTGCACTATACTTGACAAGATCAGAAGAGGTATAATGACCACAACTGGAAAAACAAACAGTATCATCCCTTCAAGTGGAGTTTCTCAGAGCATGGAACTTAGGCCATTTGCATTGAAATCACCTGGGGTGCTTATTTAAATGCAGATTCTCAAATCTTATTTCTAAGGTTACCATATACTTTATTGTTCAAACCAGGACATTTTTGAGAGTGAAAGAGATTGCTATAAATAATCATGCCAGGCTAATGAGCATAAACTATACTGTGCTAGGCAAAAGAGAACATAGGGTGCCCCTTACCCATCTCAGATCTATAGCTCTTTTGTGATTGAGTCCCAGAAATTTGCATTTCTATTAGGTTTCCAAGATGATTCTTTCACAGTGTAAAATTTGAGAAAGGTTTCCTTAAATTATGTTGTTCTAACAAGACTTAATTAATTCAGACTCTGTGAACTTTATATCATACCTCCATTTCCTGAGACTATTTCTTTGTAATAGGGAAGAAGGAAAAAAAGAAAGAAAGAGAGCATTTATTGACCATCTACTCCTGCTAAGACCTCCTCCTCCCCTTGGCATGACACTGTCTGCTGTAGTCTATAAAACAAGTTTACAGATGTTTGCTCTTGAAATTTTGTGAACCCCTGGTGATTATGGTAAAACCACATTCCCCTCGCTAGGAAACCAGTGCTTTAGCACTACAAACTACCTAGGAGACTGATCCTGGGGAGGAAGGAGGCAGTGATTAGCTAACTATCCTTAACAACAGGGTGACTACAACATTCAATAAGACTTCACCTATCAAGCTCTCATTCCTGCTTACTGCAGTCATCGACAGAAGTAGTTATCTGTCAGTAGGTGGACTCAGTCTTACCAAGCTTTACACAACCCAAATCTGACCTAAACTCTTGCATCTGTTTAGCTCTCTCACAACAGCCTTCATCATGTTCTTCTCATACTTGCCTAACTGAAACCTAAATATCTTTTGAGATCAAAAATACCCCTGTAGTCATTTAAATGGAGGGTACTTTTTTCTCCAATATCCTATTCTTCTCCTGAAAATAGGACCTCAAGGAAAAGAGGGCTTTGTCATGTTCTTCGCTACCACACCAGACCATTTCTCCTTCCTCCACCCTCAATAACTCAAGGGTCTTTGAAGCTGGCCACCATATCACACAATTTGCAATTGCTTCTTGTTTGGATTACGTGACTAGCCTTCTGGTCATCATTTCTTTCCTTAAAAAATATTTAGAATCTGCTCACTGGCTGGGCACAGTGGTTCATGCCTGTAATCCCAACACTTTGGGAGGCTGAGATGGGTGGATTGCTTGAGCCTAGGAGTTTGAGAACAGAGGGGAAAACCTGATCTCTACAAAAACTACCAAAAATAGCAAGTGTGGTGGCACATTCCTATGGTCCCAGCTCCTCAGGAGGCTGAGATGGGAGGATTGCTTGAGCCAGGAAGGTTGAGGCTGCAGTGAGCCATGATCATGCCACTGTACTCCAACTTTGGTGACAGAGCAAGACCTTGTCACAAAACAAAACAAGAACCTGTTCCCTGTCTTTGAATGCACTTCAGTTATTGTTCTGAATTGTTCGCCATAGGTAGACAATTCAATACTTTGGACAATCAATTGGTTGTTATTTTTATTTCCAGTGATCTTTTTCCCAGTCTTACCCAACTATTGCCATGATGTTCACTACATGGATTGTTATCATCAACTCGAACATCTTGATTTTAATTAATCCTGTCTCTGTTCTCACTTTCTATTCTTTAAAGTCATTCACTGTAGCTTCAGAGCTGCTCTAATGCTTTGGCCCCAGTGAAACTGCCAATTCATTAATCACCACTTCTTTATTTTCTCTCTTCCTTCTTCTCCTGTTTTTATTTCCTTTTTTAACCTAACTTAGATGCCACGATTCATCACTATAAGCAATCCCTTGCAAACATCATCAACTCAAACTTGGTTTTTCTCCAACATGTTAAAACCCTACTTGGTAAAACTCGGCTGTTTTCTTATTCCACTACTATATGTGAGCAGCCTAAGTAGGTGGAAAAAAAACCCACCAAACTTAATAACTGAACCTACTCAAAATTTTGACCATACATTTAAAGTGGAACCTCAACAATGACAGCAAGTCTACCACATTTCCTAAATTCATGCTTTCATTTTTTAAGAGGACTCTTTCACACCATTTCCTCTCTTCTCAAATATTCAGTAAGATCTAACTCACTTTATTATTAAATGATCACTTCAATATTTATGTAGTCGAAAAAATAGAAGAATTCTGAATGGAATAACCCTCACTTCTCTTCCCTCAAATCTACCAACCTGCCTGCACTTGGATCAATATATGCTGCCTTTTCTCCTGCTAAAATTGATGAACTGCCACTGCTCTATCTAAAGACAACCCCTGCACATGTGCACTAAAGGCCTTTGCCTTTCACCTACTTATGGATTTCGCTTTGCACTTGTCCACTCTCTCTCCTGCACATCATCAACTTTCTCCTCTATAGCAGATTTTTATCAGAATATTAACATGTGGCAATATCTTCTATGATGTAAAATTTAAATTGTTCCTCGGCCTGATGTTCAAGTGACTCTCTCACTCCTGCCCCATTTCTCTGCTCCTATTTTGAACGAATCACTTCTCAAGAGTTACGTATATTTGCTGCCTAAACTTCATTGTTTGCCATTCTGTCCTTAACCCATTCATTTCAGTACTTCGTCTGTATCATTTTAGGGAAACCACTCTTGTCAGATAAACAATGATTTCTACCTTGTTTAATTCAATGGTAAATTCTTTGTGCCTTTCTTATTCTACTTCTCAGAAACATTTGACACAAAAGAAATACTATTTTCACTTGGCTTCCAAGATAACAGATTCCTCTAGTTTAATTTTCTATTTTGGTGGCAGCTGTTTTTGGTCTTTGCTGGAGTCTCTTCCTGACCCCTAAATTTTGGGATGGTCCAAAACTCAAACCTCTTCCATCTTCTCATGTCTAATTGCTCTCTTCCTAGATAATTTTGAACAGATCCATGGTTTTAAAAACCAGCCATATACATACTGAAATTCATATGTATTTACTTATAAAATGATACAATGTGTGAGTTTTGCACCAAAATACTGTGAAAGAGAAGAAAGTGGTGGCAGGTGCTGGTGGGGATGTGGTTGAAACAAGATCAGTAATCAGCTGATAACTGTTAAAACTAAGTAATGGGAAATTTAGGTTCTTTACATTATTCTGTCTCATATATTTTGAGATTTCCCATAGACATATTTTTTAAATATCCTAAATTTTCTTGTCTAGCCCCAATGCCTTCAAGTCCTAAATACACATATTTGATTTTCTATTAAGCATCTCCCCTTGGATTTCTGAGTCATAAGAATTAGCATGTCCAAAATAGAACTTTTGATGTCCCTTTGTCTTTAAATCTATCCCTCCCTATGTCTCTCCTCTTAACAATGGCATTCTCATACCCTGTTGGCTTGGGCTCCAGCTTACAAGCCATTATGGGTTCCCCTTTATTCTGATAAACTACAACCTATCTATCAACAAACCTGGTTTGTTTACCTATTAAGGTAGATGGGATTTGATCACTGCTCACCATTTCCAGAGCTATCACCCTCACTCAAGCTGCCATCACTTTTCACCTAAACTACCTTAGAAACCCCCTACCTCATCTTGTTTTGCCCATTCTTGCTTCAAAGAGTAATGTTCATATGGTAGTGTGGTGATTTTTAACTCACTTTATGCCATTCCCTTGATCACCCCTTTAATGTGCTCTTCCCCATTTCTGAAAACAGGCAGAGTCTGTGCTATGGACAAGACTCTGTGTGGTTAGTCTTCTGCTTACCTGTCCAGACTCAATTGCTATAAATATTCCTCTTGCTCACCCACTGATATGGTTTGACTATGTCCCCACCCAAATCTCATCTTGAATTCTAGTTCCTATAATCCCCACCTGTTGTGGGAAGAACCCAGTGGGAGGTAATTTAATCATGGGGGCGGTTACCCTCATGCTGTTCTTATGATAGCAAGTGAGTTCTCATGAGATCTGATGAGTTTTTAAGGGCCGTTTCCCCCTTTTTGCTCAGCACTTCTCCTTGCTGCTACCATGTAAAGAAGGATGTGTTTGCTTCCCCTTCGGCCATGATTATAGGTTCCTGAGGCCTCCACAGCCATGCTGAATCATGAGTCAATTAAACTTCCTTCCTTTATAAATTACCCAGTCTCATGTATGTCTTTATTAGCAGTGTGAGAACAGACTAATACACTCACTCTTGCTAAAATGGCCCCTATTTTCCTCAAACATGCCAGGGTTACTCTCACCTCAAGGTATTTTTGTAGTATTTTTCTTGTCAACATATTCTTTCCCCAGACCTTTACATGGCTTATCCCCTTATTTCCTCCTGTTTCTGTGTTAGCTCATTAAGAGGCCTTGTCTGATAAGCCTATCATCTGTCAAAATCCTTTCTCCTGCTTTTTCTTCCTGGCAATGATTATTACTTAAAATTATATTTTATCTGTATTTATTTACTTGTTAATTTTCTCTTTCTCCAGTGATGATGTCATTTCCATGAGGGACATCTTTTACTATTATATCTCCAGGGTCTAGAGTCTGATAGATATAAATAGGCAAAAAGCATGGAGATGAAATAAATGAATCCTGGACTCTGCCATGTGTTTTCACTTAAACATGGTATGAATGCATGTGTGAAGGCAGAAAGCTGCTCCTATGAAAATGAGTTGTTTCTTTGTATAATATCTTCCCTAATGGAGTTGTAAGCCAATTAAATTCAGCAGGGACTAAACGCCTCCACAAAGAAAGCCCAGAACTCCCGTGAGATATTTGGCCGGAAGTTGAGCTGTGAGTTCCTCAGGGGAAGTCATCCTGGGCTTACTAGTCCACTGCTGCTCCTCTGACAATTCTCTTTACCTACAAAGCACTCAATCTCTTAATTCACAAATTACAAAGCATGCAGATCGCCACAAGGGAGGTCAGTCAACCAACAAACTACATTTTTAGTAATTCAGTATTAATGAACCTTTTACTTTGAGTGGTGTTTTAAGAGTAGAAATCTCTACTTCTCTGTACAGCCTCTTTCTATAAATTTCTTGCAACCCCAGGCAATTTTTGGACACCGGATTTAATCAATCCTCAGACTTCTCTTTTTAAGCAAGGGCATAGAAAAGTTCACTCACAGTTTGACTCTCCCAGTTTGTAAGTTCTCTTACCTAATTCTGAGCTTCTTTTGCCCCAGTCTTCCTGACTATAAAAGTGGAAACTTATTTCTAACTCTCTTTTTATTAGGTGGCTTTTACCCTAGTTCATGGGTCAGCATGACATATGTTTAGGCCAAGAGGAAATTCTTAGCACAACATGAGGGTCTCATGCACTTGAAATGGTGTACTCATTTTCAGTGAACATCAGGAAGATCTGTGTTCTCAATGTGTGCTAGAATACTTTCATTGGGGTTCTTAGCCACTGACCCTTAGTATGAGTGTAATTCATCTATGAAAAATTGAAACAAGGAAAAATACACTTTCATTCCTACTACATAACAAGAAAAGGATTTTAAAGCAAATTTTCTATGGCAGTATCATAATCCAATGAATTTATTTGCACAACTTTTCTTCTCCCTTTTTCTTTCACTTCCACCTGCCTGAATTGTACCTGTGCTTATCTGATACATCAGTGAAGTAGTTTATGAAGCCCAACCATCTGTACCTTTTTCTTTCTTAAATGCATGAAACCATAATCCATATACATAAATTCATAATCCATGTGCACTTCTTATAACTGTATTAAGATAGTGAATTTTCCAGTGCAATTAAACTATGAGCTAAAGAGAAGATTGCAATTTCAGACTGTATCATAAATACTCAGGCTCTTAGAGCGATACACCTGGTGAGGAATTGGGACTGATTTGTATTTTGAAACACCTTAAAATAAATCTAAAATAATAGCATAAAGTCACAAACCCTTTCTTCGTAGTAAAACTCCACTATCCCAAGTCAGCAGTGTGGAAGAGTTTTGATATATTTAAAAATATTCCTTGCTCTCTGAACTTCCTATCTAAAACAAAGAAACAGAATAAAGTCATATACATTTGTATCCCTGAGCTTGCTATTTTAATTCTCATTATTTAAATTCAGGAACTGATAGATTTATTTAGTGAAAGATAGTTGCATTTTAAAACTGTGGTTTTTGTCACTTTTTAAAATGATCTTGAATTTGGGGAGTAAGGTAGTAAGAACTATTTATTTTTTATAGAATGCATAGTAAGTACTAAACGCAAAGTTCTACAGAGAGTAGCAAAGTCATTTAGGGTATTGCTGACCCTGATAATTAAATCGTTCTATGCATTCATAACCAGTGTTTCAAGACACTTGGCAAGTTTGTTATGATGATTACACACAGACAGCCCTGATCATTCAGTCATCAGAGATCACTGTGAAGGATACAGTGGAGCATATTGTTCTCATCCCCCAGGACTGTATTAGAGTCCCTCTGAAAGTGAACTGAAATTGATTGGGTCAGTTTAATAACACTTGAATTTCACAACAGAAAAGAGCACTGAGTATTATAGTTCGATAGCAATTAAACTATCTCAAATGGTCATAGGGTTCCTCTATTTATTCCTAAGATTTTTCCATCACAGTCTTGGTACTTATAAAAGAGGTCAAGGTGAATAGAAAATGCCTCGAAACTAGAAGCTATGATATTTTTATAGGGCTTACTACAGTGTCTTTCAGAGACCAGATAGTCAAATACTTACTAACAATGAATTGATTTATAAAGGTTTATTTTGATTTTTTTCTGCACCATGAGGTAGGAAAACTCACATTTAAGGAAGAAGCAAGCTGGCATGAATATCGGCTTAGAAGAGAACTTGTATCTTTGCAGCAGAAAGATACAAGAAACTCAGAAGTATGGACCACAAAGAGTGGTGTTAGTCTGAACTGTCAAAGGTCTGCCTGTCATTGATATGTGGATATTTAGGCACTTCCAGGCTTAAAACTACAACACGCAGACATTAATTTCTTCTTCAGGATTATTTTAGCCAGAAATTTGTGTTGGGAGATTTTAGAATATAAAATAAACAGTTTCTCAAAGGCTCAAAAATTGGGAATCTGCCAGAAGTTCTTGGGGTTGCAATTTGCCAAGAGCTCAAATTTAGGTATTTTAGATAATTTGCCAATAAGATAGTAGGTATGAAACCATGTTAGTCAAATGGATCAATTTATTTTAAGGTGGATGAGTATCCAGGTACAGAGATTAGAACTCTATGACATGAGAAAAAAGGAATTGTAAGCATCTAGAACAGGGTGTACTTGATGCAGTTATTTTAATTTATATGTATTTTTATGAAGGTGTAATTTATGTATAACATACTGATATTAAGTGGACGATCTGATGAGTTTTTTTTTTTTTTTTTTTTTTACAAATGCAGATACTCATTTAATGCATGGCTTCTCAAAATGTGGAACATTTCCATTCCACAAAAGGTTTCCTCATGCCAATACTTAGTCAATTCTACTTCTAGCCCAGCGACAACCACTGTTCTGCTTTTCCACCACTGTGGGTTAGTTTTCCTGTTCTAGAACCTTATACAGGTAAAATCCAATGGTATATGCTCTTTGGTGCCTGGCTTCTTTTGCTCAAAATAATGTTTTTGACATTTTCTTATGTTGTTGTTTGTTCCTTCTTACTCCTGAGTAGTTTTCCATTGTAGGAATATACTAAAATGTTTACTCATTCTCTGGCTTATAAACATTTGGGTGTTTTCTGTTTAGGGCAATTATAAATAAAGCTGCTATAAACATTCTTGATCAAGATTAATATATTTTCTTTTTGGGGGGAATGAAATTGCTTGGATATAGGGCATACAAATGTTTAACTTTATAAGAAAAGTTACCTCCAAATTTTCTAAAATTAATAGTGCCATTGTGCACTCTTTACCTGCAATAACTGAGAGTTCTGGATGCTCCACATTCTCAATTTTTAACGTTTTTTTTCAGTCTAGTAAGTGTAAAATGATATGTCACGGATTTAACATTAATTTTTCTGATCACAAATGATGACAATTGCTTCTTTATGAATATTAGCCATTCATTTGCCTTTCTTTATGTAGGACTATTCAAATCTTTTGCTCACTAGTTTTATTTGGTTGTTTATATATATACTATACCATTGCCAGAATTCATTAAATATTTCTGATACTAGTTTTTTGTTAGACATATATATGCAAATATATATATGGTTCTGGCCCTGAATGGTACCCTGCACAAGGAGGATCAATGGGAGCTGAAATTCCCTGTGTGCTCTGGCTTATTAATGATAAAGACCTTTTTATGATTATATCATCTTGGGGACACATGAGGGAAGAAAGTTGCAACTGCAATGCGAAAGGATCCCCTTTGTCCATACACAGGAGGCACTCTAGAATTTATGGAGAGGAAATACTTTAAGGTTCACCCAGAGATGATATCTTTGCTAATTTTCAAAAAGCTGCTTTTCAGGTTAGCATAGGCTCTGCACCGCTCCCTAACCATTCCTGAACCTGCAGCGTTCCATCACTCGTACCTCTAACGGTAACACAATTCTTCAGTTTAAAACTGTGTAGATACAGTGTGGTCCCTGCCTCTGTTTCATCATTCAAGGTTTGATTTTTTCTTTTCTTATGACTATTTGTTGTTGTATTATCTTCCTTTGTAAAACAGACATGACATTCAGGACAGTCTGTTCTCTAACTAATGACTTTCATAATTCTATCTGATTACAATATCACAAATATTGAAATGCCTTTGTAATATCCTATAATGTCATTAAATTTTTGATCTGAACAATAAAGGTGTATTGGGACACCCAAGGACATTCTACTGCACTTTTAGAGGACCAACTTTTTCCTTCTCTACACCTCTCAATCTTCTCACTTTCTTGGTTCCAGGTTCTATCTTGCCATCCTCTCCATGCTTTAAGCCATCAGCCATAACAAATTTATATATATATAAATTTATATATATATAAATTTATACATATATAAATTTATATATATATATATAAATTTATATATATATATATATATGGATGCAGAATTCAATTGGCTAGATTGGCAAGGAACTTATAAGACTTTCAAGAGTCTGGTTAAATGTCTGTTTATTTCTACAGGGACTCTAGTAAACTTTCCATTCACACATCTTTGGACCTCGGCTTCCCAAAGTGCTGGGATTACAGGTGTGAGCCACTGCGCAAGCCCAAATTATCCAATTTTTTTATAGTTAGTGTTTCTCTGTCCTATATAAAACATCACTGCTTATCCCAAGGTCTTACAATATTCTCTTATGTTTTCTTCTAAGAAGCTTTATACTTTTGGCTTTTATGTTTAGGTCTGTGATTTTTCTTGAATTATTTTTTATGTGTAGTAAACTAGGGGTGGTTTTTTTTTTTTTTCACATACAGATATCCTTTTGTTCCAGGATCACTTTATTGAAAATAATTTTTTCCTCATTGCTAAAATATTTGTCCTAGTTAGGTAGGGCTGCTATCACAACATACCTTACACTTGGTAATTTATAAATAACAGAAATTTATTTCTCACAGTTCTAGAGGCTGGGAAGTCCAAGATTAAGGTGCCAGAAGATTCAATGTCTGGTGAGGGCTGCTCTCTGCTTCCAAGATGGTGCCTTGTTGCTGTGTCCTCACATAGAAGGAACAAAAGGGGTCAAACAGGTTCTTTCAAGTCCTTTCATAAGGCCACTCACTAATCCCATTCATGAAGGTATTGTCCTCATGACCTAATCACCCCCTAAAGGCATCGGAGATTTAGTTTCAAAATGAATTTTGGAGGGACACAAATATTCAAAGCCTACCATATTTAATTGTAAAATTAATTAACTTTTCCTACTTTTAACCATGTAAGAAAGGCCATTCAAAATGAAATTCTTCTAGGTAGACATCATTCCATCCCCGATAGACACAATAAGCATTGGAGAACCAATTGTCTTTTGAGACATTTGCTTAAATAGGCTAAGATTTACTTAGAATATTCCTCTCTTCTATTAACCAATCAATTAATGCCAGACTCATGCCACCTGGCCCTGAATGGTTCTAGAATCTGGAGAATGGCTGGTTGCTATATGATTGAAATAAAGAGTGGTAGTAGATATAGTCTGATGAGGAGCTGCAGAGCAGCTAAAAATTTTGAAAACAGGAGGGAAGAAAAATTGTCTAAAAGAAGCCATGAGGAGCAAGTGCCTCAACTCAACTTCAAGGACCTGTTCTATGGGAGCCGGGAGAAAAAAGCAGTCACCAGTTAGGAGAGATATGACAGTATCTGGATCCTCAAGTGACGGTCAGGTTTTCATTAAAGTGGGAAGGTGGAAGGGGAGTTCAGAAATAGCAGACATTTTAATGATGACAGAGGAAGAGATCAGGAGAAATAGCATGACCGTGTGTGAGTGAATGAGAAGTTGAGTCAGCTAAGCAGATGGGCAGATCAATTCATACGAGGAGATGCATGAGTAGACAGTGAGAACTTTTAGTGGTGATGAGGATAGGTGGCATGGTATTGTCCATTCTGTTGGTTTCTTGGGAAAAGGTAGGTGTTAAATATATGGACACACAAACACACACAATGGAACTGTTTTATTTAAACTAAAACAAAATAAAACTATTTAGCTTTTTTTTTTTTTTTTTGAGACGGAGTCTCACTCTGTTACCCAGGCTGGAGTGCAGTGGCACGATCTCAGCTCACTGCAAGCTCCACCTCCCGGGTTCATGCCATTCTCCTGCCTCAGCCTCCTGAGTAGCTGGGACTACAGGTGCCCACCACCACGCCCAGCTAATTTTTTGTATTTTTAGTAGAGACGGGATTTCACCGTGTTAGCCAGGATGGTCTCGACCTCCTGACCTCATGATCCTTCTGCCTAGGCCTCCCAAAGTGCTGGGATTACAGGCGTGAGCCACCGCGCCCAGCCACTATTTAGTCTTTTATAAGCTGTGGAGAATCCATAAAATGCTAAAATGTGTTAATGTATTTATTTGCTTTTTTTGTCTCATCATTTATTTTCATCATAGAAAAAATAAGGTAGTAAAAAAGGAGATGGCTGGAATGAAAGTGTTTGTGCATCTAATTTGGAAACCTAGAGATACAGCTGCAAGAGGGGCTGTCAAAATTGCTTAAGCTTTTTTCCAAAGATGGTGATACATCTTTCTTGGATAGTCACATCCATGAGAATGAAAGAAATGATGAACATGTTAACAACAACATAATAGGAATACTTCATTTTCAAGAGAAGAAAGCATCACAAAAACTAAAACACAGTGCTTCTCATTTCCTCTAGGGATTCCTGTTATATAATTTCCATTTTAAATGAAGCAAAAATACTTCCAATAACCAGAGAAACACTTAAAAATTAAGAAACACTTGTTCTAGTTAATGTGTCTGAATAGTTCCAAGAAAAAAGTCTCCCCCAGGAGGTCATTATTATTCAAAAATTACTCTAATTAGGTCATGAATACATTAGGCCCTATTCAGCACCAACAAGAGAAAAAATAGAATTGGAAATGTGACACACATAACACTCCCAACGTGTTAGGGTGATTTTATTCCAAAATGCCATTAAAAGATGAAAAGGTCACCCTGTAGGGAAGCAATTGGTATAGCACTCTTGTAACTGATTAAAGGGGCTTTTATTTAGGCATTTTTTTTCTTTTTTTCTTTCAAAAGGGGTCTTTCTAGATAGAAAGAAAATATATATGTCTCTGTGTGTATAATCTGATTGCATAGATGTTTGGCTGTTTTAAAACAGTAACACAGAAAAAGGGAAAAACAAGAGCTCTTGAGATAAGAAAATAGACACAATTGTAGACTGAGTATACAAATTGCACAGAGAATCTTAAGAAAACATAAAAAGGCATAGATATTTCCTTGTGTTTGTTTTTCATTTAATTACTCCATCTCTGTGGTTTCTTAGAATATCTGCTGCATAGACAAGTTCCATATTTAATTAGAAAGGAGTATAAAATTTTAATGAATTGGTAATGCCCAAAGAAAGAGGCTAGAAAGTTGAAAGTCTTTATTTTTTTAAAAGAAACTTAAGAAAATCTGATAATGATCCCCCCCGATTTGTTTGATAGTTGGATTTGTGAATTTCCAGCAAGCCATATTATACTACATACAACTAAACAAAGGAAAACATCCCCAGGGCTTACACATGCACCTGTACCTTGTTAAAACCATATAAAAGAGGGACATTGATTGATCACTTGTAGCATGATTTCTGTTTTTTTCTATATAATCTCATTGCGAATGCAATTTTTTATAATCATAGCTTGCAACATTCATAATCAAAATTGCTTTCTTTAAAACCTGCCAAAGTACTTATCATACGCACAAGATTTCCACCTCAAAGATACGGTTCCTGTCTTAGTTCATTTGTGCAGCTGTAACAAAATACCTATGACTGGGTAATTTACAAAAAACAGAAATTTATTTCTCACAGTTCTGGAGGCTGGGAAGTCCCACATCAACGCCCCAGCATCCACTGTCTGTTGAAGGTCTCCTTGCTGGTCCTCACATGGTGGAAGGCAGAAGGGCCAAAGTGAGGACAAACTCTGTGTCCTCACATGGCAGAAGAGCAGAAGAGGACAAACTCATGTTCACAAGCCCCTTTTCTAAAGGCATGAATCCATTTATGAGAGTGGACCCTCATGATCTAAAACAACTCCCAAAAGGCCACATCTTCCAATACTGTTGCATTGGGGATTAAGTTTCCAACTCATGAATTTTGGGCGACACATTCAGACTATAACAATGCCTAGATATGAGACACTAAAAACTCAATGTTTTTTCTGTATTCTTTACTTACAAATATTTTATGTCTTAGTGTCCTTTAAGAATTCTAAGAGTTTTATAGAAGATTAAGTATACCAAATGTCTAATTGATTTTATTCTTTCTTCTGATAATGCTTAATTCATGTTTTCTCACTCCTTTATCCAGCCACTAATTCATTCAACAATATATACTTTTAATTGTAACTTTTTATTGTGACACAATATCAGAGTTATAAATGAGTTGCAAAATTTCTCATACTACTACCACTCAGATTCCCATTTGTGTGTGCATGCATGTGTGTGCATGTGTGTACACACTTGTATTTATATGAGTATGTATATGTATTATGTATACCCATATATAGGTGTACACGCACACAAACGTGCGTATGTATATTCTAAACCATTTAAAAGTAAGTTGCAGGCATGTGTTTTACCCATAAATACTTCGGCATGAATTTCCTAAAAACAAGAATATTCTTCTACATAATCACAGTATAATTATCAAAATCAGGAAAGCAACATTACTACAATAACATTATCTAATTTATAGACCTTATTTACATTTTGCCAATTGTTCAGTAGCTACCTTTCAAAAACCTAGGATTTTATTGTACATTGCATAAAAGAATAAACTACTTATGAGAAAGTGAAAAGTACCAGAGAGTTTGCTTACGAGAATACATTTTGTTTTAGTAGATAACATAGTCAGTACCTTTTAATTCAATAAATAGGTATTGTGTGTAGACTTTTTATATAGAAAAAGTAATAATAACTCCCATTTGTTGAGTGCTTTCAATGGGTTAGACACTTATAGTAATGTGAACTCTCTAATTTGCATCTCACAACAATCTTAAAAGGTAGATATTATTTTATAGAGGAAGAAACAAGGGCTAATAGTAATTAAGCAGCTTGTTTGGTTACAGAGCAAGTGAACTGCAGACCTGGAATTATCTTCCAAATCCATATTCTGAAACTTTATTCTTTTATTCATCATGCCATATTCCTCATAGAGTGAAACAACAGACACTGATGATGGATGTCCTATTGTCCTGGAACTTATAATCTTCCTAAAGGAAATATACAAAACATATAAACTCAGAACATTATGAGTAAGAAGTTTCTCTTCATTTAAAGTTGTTACTCAACTGCTACCCTATCCCTGGTGCTTCAATTCTTCTGCTCCTCACCTGTTTTCTCCATAGCATTTATCATTGTTTATCTCAGTATATAATATACATCTTCACTATGCTAATATCATGTCTCTCCACACAGGAATGTAACTTCAAGAGAATCTTAATTCTTTTTTTTTTTTTAAGCTGCTAAGTCCACAGCACATAGAAAACTACCTTGCATAAACCAGTCATTAGTAAAAGATTTGTTGAACTCATAATTAAATTTCATCAACTGCTTGATTTTATAGATGAGGAAGGTGAAGTCCTGAGAGATTAAGTTGTTCATGGTCAGAGTAATTTAATTTTTAATTTTAAATTTATTTTCTTTTTTTTTTTTAAGAGATTGATTCTCACTTTGTCACCCAGGCTGGAGTGCAGTAGTGCAATCATAGCTCACTGACACCTCGAATTCCTGAGTTCCTCCTTTCTTGGCCTCTCAAAGTGTTGGGATTACAGGTGTGAGCTCCCATGCCTGGCCTAGAGTAATTAAATGACATGAAATGTCATTAAGTTGAAAGTAAATAGGAGTCACAATGAGTGACACAATCATTGGGTCCTGTAGAGCATAGAGGAGAAAGAGATAAGAACTGGGTTCTGGTGGGAAAGTGTTGCAGGAGAGAGACCATAAACAACAGGTAGAAAGCCTGTAGTGAACAAAGACCCTGGGAGGAAAATTAACAAGCCAAGTTAACTGGACATATTACATGACTAGCTACAGAGGAAAGATCATTATTGGAAATGAGGAAAGATCATTATGGGAAATGATGAAAGATCAAACTTGGCAGAAATAATGCTGCCAGATTATAAGAGTTTTCTTTGATATAGAGAAGTTTCCATTCTTATAGGCAAAGTAAATTGGATATTTTCTGGCAGCACAACAGTTAAATAATCAATGACATAAAGGCTAATCACCTTTCCACTTTAAGCAAAAGCATTACAGCTAGCAAGAATTAAACAGTGATTTTCCAGGGTTGATTTGTATGTACGTCTCTCATTTTCTAAGCTGGTCTCTGGTTTTAATGAATTTGATACGTCATTGCTCAGGGAATGATTGAATGGATCATACCTTCAACTGATGTTCAGTAATTCTAATAGACAGTTAAGGAAAATACTTTAGCTGAGTAAAATAGTGAAAGATAGAAAGAGGCAGACATCAGAAAAAAATAGGTCAAGGAAGAGATGTGTATGGTTAACTTTTGGCATAAGAAACTAGTGAACTGAGAATCTGACTATTCAGATGTCTCCTTTCTGAGTTCAGTATACACAAATCGACTTCAGATTTAGAGTAGTGCAAATTCTAGAGCTGGCATCATTTTTCAGTCATTCTGACTTAGATGCCACGCTGATTGACACTACGTGTTTTGACATAGGTAAAGAGGGCTCTCAAAGTAAAGCATGATGTATTTCCTCCAAAACAAAACAAATAAAAGTTCTATTTATTTTTCATCATAGTGTTTATATACAGTCTCTTTTTATAACTATTGGATTTGTGAAAGGTTATTATCCTCATTTATAGATAGGAAAACTGAAGCTCAGAGGGGTTAAGTGACTGTTCAAGGTCACACAGTGACTATACAAACCAAGATTTTGGCTTAGATTCCTTGGCTTTAATATTTCTGTTGTTTCCATTATATTATGCTCCAAAATCCCAAATCAGTTTTCTTTCTCTGCTTGTCTCTGTGAAAAAATAGGGAATATACTTCCTCATTTGCTACATAGTCAGTCATCCAGTGGTTGAGACTAGGTATTTAGGGTATTATGGACTAATAGTAACTGAAACTACTGCTTTTTCTACTAGTATTTGTGAGACATTTCCTGATGCCATTGTGAAGTGGAAGAAGGATAAGATATGTCATTCTTCCTGCTGGCTCATGTCTCTCTCCTTTATTCACTAAAATGTTAATATTATTATAACTACCACTAAATTAATACATGTTGCTCAAACAAGATGCCATTAGTTCTAAAAGAAGGAAGATAAAGATCTTCCTCCTTCACACTCTGACTCCCCTTTCCATTTCCAAAATGAAATCCCTGCTATCAAGTTGTGTGTATGTGTGTGTGTGTGTGTGTGTGTGTATTTTCTTACAGTATATTTTATACAGATAAAAGCATGGTTATGTAATTTACATCCTAATGTATTTTGAAAAGCTTTTAATACTTGCATATATAGAAATTCTTCACTTAATTGCAAAAACGTAACAAATTTAACCAGTTCCTATTATATAGGAACTGGTTATATAGACCTGAAACGTCTAGGTTGTTTCAGTATTCTTTCTATTAAAAAGTTTTGCAGTGAAACCCCATCTCTGCTAAAAATACCAAAAAATTAGCCAGATGTGGGGGTGCACACCTGTGGTCTCATCTACTCAGGGGACTTAGGTTGGAGTATCACTTGAGACCGGGAGGCAGAGGTTGCAGTGAGCCAAGATCCAGCCACTGCATACCAGCCTTGGCGACAAGAGTGAGACCTTGTCTCAAAAATAAATAAATAAATAAATAAATAAAAGGCAACTTGCTGCATATATTTGTACATATGCACAAGGACTCTATGGGAGAAAAATCTTAGAAGGGAACTGATGGCTCAAAAAGTATGTAGATAATAATTTGCTAGATATTGCCATTTTTGTCTTCAAAATTATGCACCAATTTATATTCCCATTACAGAAATCTGTTAGTATGCACTCCCTTATGCCCTCATCAATTCTAAAGGCGATGAAACATTTTATTCTTGCCAATCGTAGTACTATCTAATTGTTGTTTTAATTTGCATTTCTTTGATTATGTTAGGGTGACCAAGTATTCATTTACACTTCTTTTCCTGTCTGATCTCTGTTCATGCCTTTTAGCTATTTGTTGTCCTTATAAATTTTTTTAAGTTGTAAGAGCCCCTTGTATGGTATAGAAATTAGCCTTATTTTCTCTAAATACCATTTCCTAGCTTATCATTTTTTATCTTTTGACATTTTTGGCTATACAGATATTTAATATTTTATGTACCAAACATATTATTTTTTCATTTATCATGACTTTCATATTCTTTCTCTCCTTAGATAGTACTTCATCAGCTCAAAATTTGAAAAAAAAAAGTTATGTTTTTAAATTCTTCTTGCTGTTTAAGGGTTCATTTAACAGTAAAACCTTTGACTCATCTGGAATTAATTATGACATAAGGAGTGAGGTATGAGTCCAATATATTTTTTCCAATTGCTTGCCACAACATTTACTGAATCTGGTTTGCTCCTCCCCTTTGAGATATAAATTCTCATATAATGGTTAGTCTATTTATAACCTCTCTATTCTCTCCCATTATTCTGCCTGCCTATTGGTATGTCAATATCAAACTATATATTTAATACTTGGATTTAAAAATATTTCTTACTATCTGAAAGATTCCCCACCCTCCCAAATTATTTTGGAAATTTTCAGGGTATTTTAATGTCACTGTTTCTAGAAAGACTTTAGTTCATACTATTTTTTAAAGTTTTCCCAAAGCCTTATTCATCTTTTGAGATTGCAATTATACATTTTTGGGGCATACTGTTATTTTTATAAAATTGAATCTTCCTATTCTCAAATAGGGTATGCATTTTCGTTCATCCATGACATTTTTATTCCTCAGTAGAGGTGTAACATTTTCTTTTTATTGGATCTACACATTGCTTATGAAGCTTGCTCTAAGATATCGTATCTTTCTGACCGTTTTAGTGAATTGAATTTTTCTTCCACTAACTTTCCATTTGTTTCTAATTACTGTGTATCTTAATACCATAACCAGTCACCTTTTAAGATTTATTATTTCTACTAGTTTTTAGCTGACTTATATGTGACTAGACATGTATAATGTACAAATATAACAGTATTTCTTTTTCAATTATTTTTATTATTTCACTTTCTTATAGGAATAAGCTTGAATCAATTGTTATATGTTTTATTTTTTATAAAACTTCATTATCTACAACATCCAAAATAATGCTTAATAAGGGTAATAATGGTACTGCTTCCTTTTCAGAACAGTAATGGAATGACTTTAGTGTTTCACCATAGCCCTGGTTTTGAGTTTAAAAAATGTATTCACGTCAGGTAAGTTTGCACCCTTTCAACTTGGGCAAAGGTGTTTTAAATTGCATTTAAGTTTGAAATGAAGGTTAAGTTTATTTTCCAAGTGCTTTGAACTTCAATCAAGATGAATATATTTTCCCTTGTTAACTTATTCATGAGCTGAAATACTTTAATAGTTTTTTATTATTGAGCCATCCTTGCATTTCTGAAATAGGCCTCACTTGGTCATAGTGTAACATTATACTCATTTCTGCTTGAATTCATTTTGGTGACATTTTCTTTATGCTAGTTGTATCAATATTCACATGATGAGATGCCTTTTATTTCTTTCTTGCATAATTGTTTTCAATTTTCTTAAAAGAGAATTTATTGTTCTTTTTTATTGTATTAGAGGCATTTTCCATGAATATTTCAAAGAAAGCACCTAAAAGCATTTCTGATCCTGCCTCTATCTTGATAGTTGGCTATTTGATAATTTTCTCAGTGTCTCTCTTGATTATATATTACATATGTAATTATTTCAATTTAGATAATTTAGATAATTTTTAGTTTCCTTAAAAATATTCATTTCACTCATGTTTTCAAAGTATGTTGAGAAAAGTTTAAGAGTATTCATTTATTATATTTAAAATTTCTTTTATTCTCAGGGGTGATTTGATCTGTTATTATTTCTAATTTAGGTCATTTTGCCTTCTCCTTTCTTCACTATGCTGATTCTTTTTCTTCCTCTTTTTTTTAGAATCAGCACTTGAATTTATCATTCTTTTTTAATTAAAATTTCAAAATTTCAATTTTTGGGATACATTTGTTTTTGTTTTTCTGTCTTCTCAGTTGAATACTTCTCAAGTATATTGTTTAGTCATGTAATCATTTCAGGCTATGTATTTTCCTCCAAACACATTTTTTTTTTTTTTGGAGACAGAGATTCGCTCTTGTTGCCCAGGCTGGAGTGCAATGGCGCAATCTCGGTGCACTGCAACCTCCACCTCCCGCGTTCAAGCGATTCTCCTGCCTCAGCCTCCCTAGTAGCTGGGATTACAGACATGTGCCACCGCGCCCGGCTAATTTTTGTATTTTTAGTAGAGACGGGGTTTCTCCATGTTGGTCAGGCTGGTCTCGAACTCCCGACATCAGGTGATCTGCCCACCTCGGCCTCCCAAAGTGATGGGATTACAGGCATGAGCCACCGCGCCCAGCCCCTCCAAACACATTTTTAATGTACATCACAAAAAGTGTTAATATAGTCACTATTTTCTAGGTATTTTGTACTTTTGTTTTAGACATAAGTATTGTTAAAAATATAGATTTAACTTATTTTGTTGAAGTTTTACGTTATTAGGTACATTACTCTTTCTTTTTTTTTGAGACAGGGTCTCACTGTCACCTAAGCTGTAGTACAGCAACACAATCAGGGCTTACTGCAATCTCTGCTTCCTAGGTTCAAGCGATTGTGCTGCCTCAGCCTCCCAAGTAGCTGGAACTAGTAGCAGGTGTCACCACTCCTGGCTAATGATTTTGTTTTGTATTTTTAATGGAGACAGGGTTTCACCATGTTGGCCAGGCTAGTTTCCAACTCCTGACCTCAAGAGATATCCACCCCTGGCCCCCTCTGGCTTCCCGAAGTGCTGCGATTACAGGTGTGAGCCACCGTGCGTGGCCACATTACTTTTTCTTTTTGTCAATGGTTTATACCGTAATTACAGTTTGTAAAAAAAAAAAAAAAAAAAAAAAAAAAAAAAAAAAAAAAATCCTGTATTTTTTCTTTTTTTAAACAGAAGTTAAAGTGGCTTTATTCACATACACACGATTCATAGGAAACTACAAAGAAGCTACCAGACGTCAAAAGTGAATTTACCAAGGTCTCAGTAACAAGTCAATATGTATTTTTTTCTTAATTATACTTTAAGTTCTGGGATACATGTGCAGAACGTGCAGGTTTGTTACATAGGTATACACGTGTCATGGTGGTTTGCTGCACCTATCAACCCATCATCTACATTAGGTATTTCTCCTAATGCTATCCCTCCCCTTACCTCCCCACCCCCCAACAGGCCCCAGTGTGTGATGTTCCCCTCCCTGGGTCCATGTGTTCTCATTGTTCAACTCCCACTTATGAGTATTTTTTCTTTTGTTCAAATTTATTGAGGTTTATCTTGGAAGGTAATATATGCTCTATTTTTGTAAACATTCTATAATTGTTTAAAGATAAATTCTTTTCTCTGTTTTCAGGGACTAAAGTTTGATATATACTTAAGAGATCAAATGTATTAGCCATATTATTCAAATTATCTAGGGCCTTATCAGCAACTTAATGATTTATTGAAAGTCAATTCTACAAAACTGAATTAAAACCACAACTGGGGAGAGGAAATTTAAAAGTAAAAAGGCCATAGCAGTTAGTGCTAAATTAAAAAAACTTAAATATGCTTTCAAATTATGTGTCTTCTGAATTATGAGCTGTCTAAAGACCTGTAGTGTATAAGCATGTCTCAAAGATCTTAGTGGTACATCTTGAATTAGCATGTTGCTCAGGTTCCTGGATGTTTTGTCAAGGACAAACCCAGAAAGAGTCATGTCAGGAAAAATCTACAAGTTGGTAATCAATGTCTCTCAGTGCAAAGAAGAAAGAACCAGGACAGCCACTTCTCCTAAAGACCTTGATGCTTTCTGCTAGATGCAGGGCTTACTAAGCATGGCCCATTCTGTCCCAGTTTTCCTGGGGACAATCTAATCATTATGATTCCATCAAATAATCTATTACTCTAAACTTCTAAAGCATGACCTTGCTCTGAAATCCCCATGAAGTAAAAAGTCATTAAACATAAACTTAAAACTTTCCCTCTAATATTTTATTTTTTAATTTTTATGTGCTAGAATACAGTTAACATGGATAAAAATAGGTCATATAAGTGAGTTTTCACACAGAGCTTCGTTAAAGTATCATAACAGAAAAACACTCTCTAGATGTATGGATGGAAACCTGGTGATTATACAGGTAGCTCATTTCCACCAATGAGAGAGTTCAACTTTCTCTCTGGGCCTTTTTGTGTGTATGTGTGTCTCAAATATTTTCAGAAACTGACAGCATGCTCTCTCTTTGATACAAGATTGCAAAGTGGAGCTGAGATATATGACATGGATTCAGAAATGACAGATGTCTAGGAGTGAACCAAACATCAAGAAGGATAAAGCACCATTTCTTTTTACTGTTAAAAAAAAAAAAAGACATTTTCTCCTGTAATGAAGGCTCAATTCTAGGTACTTTGTTGTAATACCATTATTAATACTATTTATTAATACTGTTATGACCAGAAGGAATGCCTACAACTTTGATTACTCATGCCTTCAAAACATGATGGAAACAAACTAGAAACACTGTTTTCAGCACAGCTGTCTTTCCACATCTCACCTCTGCTACCTATTGAGTAAGACTTGTGTGTTGGCTCTGCTAGAACATGGAATATCATAAACTGGAAGTTCTGGAATGCTGCTGAGGGCAGTGTTTCTCAACATGCAGTTCTCAACCACCTATATCTGAGGCATCTGGGTACCACATTTCTGCTGAATCAGAATTTATGGAGCAATTGGCTCAGTGTATATATACAGCACATGGTTGGTGCCAATGTAATTGTAGTTTCTGCCATGTCCTTCAATGGCAAAACCCGCAATTACTTTGGCATCAAACTAATATATATACACATATATGTATGTATACTACATCACACACACACACACACACACACACAATGAGAGAGAGTGAGTCTCACTCTGCCTCCCAGGCTAGAGTGCAGTGGTGCGATCATAGCTGACTGCAACCTTGAACTCCTGGGTGCAAGCAATCCTCCAACTTCAGTCTCTGCAGTAGCCAGGATTACAGGTGCATGCCACCATGCCCAGCTAATTTTTTTTTTTTTTTTTTTTAAAGAGACAGAGGCTCGCTATGTTGCCCAGGCTGGTCTCAAACTCCTGGTCTCAAGCAATACTCCCACCCGAGCCTCCCGAAGTGCTGGAATTACAGATGTGAGCCACTATGCCCAGCAGGAAGTAGTTATTTTTAACAAACCAACCAAATGATTCTTAGGCATATGGAAATTCCATAGCCTTTGGAGATTGTGTTGTCAAGCATCCTCTGAGTTATATGCAGTGACACCGTTACATAGAGTTAACTAATTTGTTTTAAGGCAAGTACTAGAATGACCTCATGCCTTAGTAACTATGCTTACATGATGGTAACTGGTAGCCAAAAACCTATAATTCATTAAGTGCATGTCAGGGAATTGTGCTCCATGGAAAAACTATCACTAAATCTCGTGTGCTTGGTAGGGCCTCTTAAAGCAAGGTTTTAACAAGGCTCTAGTTATTCCTGGTTCTATTCTGGGCAGTTGAAATGCAAAAATTCCAAAATGCCTGTCTTTCTGAATCATATATTCTATCTTGTGTTGCACTTGAAATTATTACCCCTTCTAAAATTACATGTAAAATATTATGTCTATGCACTTCTTACAAGGGCTACTAATTGTCCAAAGATAGATTAAAAATGGAATCAATTGCTCCTCGAAATGCATGGAGTCATTTCTGCCCCTCTGTAATGTATTTGGGATATAGAAGCTCAGAGTTCTCTGGCCTGGCTTTCATCTAGGAAGGCATCAGTGAGCATTTCTGCGTTCTCTGCTCTAATTCAGCTAAAGGTTGAGCTCTTCTCACTACTAAGCTTAGCTGCCTCTCCTAACTAGGATTCAGGAGAATTAATGCAAGTGTTTTAACACAAGAGGATTTATTCGCAGAAAAATACTAGAGACATATCTTCTTATCTTATACTCACTACAACTGAGAAAAGCCTCTGAATCTGGAATAATAGTGAACTGCACACACTTCTCCAGAACACAGTTGAGTGGAGTGCCATGCGCTGGGGCTGGTAATGAGGGAGAACAAGGCAGGCCGGCACAGCTGGATATCCACACGATCCTTGCCTTCTCATGTCTTATTTGTCCTCTGCAGCGGCTCAGCACTGGAGGCTGAAGAAAGCCTGATACTGAAGGTTGCTGTAGTAAGTTGCATAATGGACACCCAAAGATATCAGGTTCTAATCCTGGAATTTGTGAACTATTTTATTTGAAAGAAAGGGTCTTTGAAGATGTGATTAAGATTTCTGAGATGAGACTACCCTGGATTATCTTGATGGGCCCTAATGCCATCACAAGCATCTTTATAAGAGAGAGGCGAAGGGAAACGACACAGAAAATGGAGGAGAAGGTAAAGTGAAGATGGAGGCAGAGGTTGAAGGGATGTGAACACAAGCCCAGGAATGCTGGAGTCACCACCAGAAGCTGGAGCAGGTAAGGAGAAATTCTGCCTTAGACCCCATGGAGGCAGTACAGCTCTGCAGGAATGTGGACTTCTGGCCTCCAGAACTGTGAGAGAATAAATTTCTGTGTTTTAAGCTGCCAAATTTGTGGTAATTTGTTACAACAGCCTCGGGGAACTAACATAGTTGCCCTGCCATGCAACAGATGCCTACTACTATGTGCGAGTTCTCTATGCAGTTTGGCTGCCTCTCAATTTTCCTTTACTTGTTCGTGTATCTTTCCAAGATGGCTTTATCACCCCAGTAGCTATACTTCTCTGTTCCTTGGAACATGAAAGAAACTAACATACTCTATCTATAAGCTTCTGTTTTCTACTCTTCAGCACCTTCTTAGATTACCTCCTTCATCATCTGGCCAGTGTGTGCTTAATGCAAACAAAGTTTACAAAAAAAGTATGTAATATTTCATCAAAATTAATAAGATTTAATAAAGCAGGAATAAAACATTAAAAAAAAACAAATAGTGGGAGTTAAAAAAATTGTTTGGGTTTATGTGTGCCACTATTTCCTATCCTCCCCCGCAAAAATTATTGTACCTAAACATTATGGCATAAAATGGAAGATTAATGTTTTGACAGACTTACCAGAATTTGCTTATATATCTGTGACAGATTAGATATGGCCACAATTTATTTGTAGTTTCTCCCATCAAGAGGTGGGAGAAACCCACTTCTTCTTCTTTTGACTTTGGGTTGGCCTGTGCTTTGCTTTGAACAAAAGAATATGCCAAAGTGAAAGCATATGAGTTCCATAGTTTAAGCCTCAAGAGACCTTACAGATTCTTCCTCGCCCTCTTACAACACTGCCCTGAGAACAGCATGCAAGGAAGCTAGTCTAAGCTATTGGAGAATGAGAGTTCCTATTGAAAAGAACAGAGCATCCTTCCTTCAGGACCAACTGCTAGATGTGTGAATGAGTCTAATCGTCTATCTTCTAGTCCAGAGGACTTTCCCCTTAAAAAAACCATGTAAGTGAGCCTGGGTAAATCCAGCAAAAGAAAAAAATCCCCCCAAAAAACCATCTGATCATCTCAGAACTATGAGAATAAGCGACTTAATCCTAGGATGGTTTGTCATGCAGCAAAAGATAACTGATACAACCTCTGAGGAGGAATGTATTCCTTCACAGAAGCTTTCCTGTGGGAATGGCCTTCACATTCTATTGAGAAGTCACACCCACTGCATAGCCTGAATTCCCTCCCTTGCCTTTGTAATTCACATGTTGAAGTTCCAGCCCCAGTACTTCAGCATGAGACTGTATTGGGAGGGTCCTCAATGCAGTAATTAAGTTAAAATGAAGTCCTTGGGGTGAGCCCTAATGCGATGTGACTGGTGTTCTTATAAGTTAGAAGAATTTGAACACTGACATGTGCGGAGGGAGGGAAGACAATGTGAACGTAAAGGGAAAAGATGGCCGTATGGCCATCTATAAGCCAAGGAGAGATGCCTGGAACACATCCTTCCTTCACAGCCCTCAGAAGGCTCTACTGACACCTTAATTTCAGACTTAATTTCCCTCCCAAAGTGCTGGGATTACAGGTGTGAGCCACTGTGCCCAGCCAGTCTGTGGTTTTTATAGCGGCTCTAGCATATGAATATAGCCAGCTGTCCCCCTACTGGGATGCACACATATACAACCTTAGTGGCTCCTTTTAAAAGTTTAAAAATATTAAAGTAAAAATGATTTTGCTGAACTTGAACATCCATCTTTTTAATAGACGTGGCTTACTCTTAAAGAATACAGATTTGCTTCACTTAGGACAATCAAAATAACATGCAAGAGATTCTAGAAGCAATTTTGAAGAAAAAAGCTCCCTAAATATTTTGAACAATGACAACATAATTAGAAAATATATCACTTCCTTTGTTTAGTACATTGAAGAGAAAAATCCAATTTTTTTCTAACAAAAATCGTTGCTCTTTTATAGTCACATTTTGAATGCATTTCATCTTGTTTCTCATCTGTATGGCACATATTTTTGGGATAGCTCCAGTCTATGTAAACGTCTACATTAACCAGAGAAATGCTTGTGGAGTTAAACAGATGCTCTGCGATAACAATGACTCAGATACATTTCATGAGTTCTGCTTAATCTAAAACAGTTCCGCCTTCCTAAACATATGCCTCCACCCCTCTTCCACCCTGAGCATTATTAAGTAAGTAGGAAAAACGTTAATAGCAAGGAAGATAATGAAAAAACCCAAAAAGAATTTTATTATCTGAATTGATGAGAAAAGAAAGGGTGCCAGTTAGACAAAAACCTTAATAAAGGAAGGATTAATTCCTGCATTCTCAGGTGGTTTCCAACTCATTGCTTCCCTTGCTGCCTCTCACAAGATATGTAAGTAAATGAAAGAGTTACAGCTACAGATTTAATAACAGCTGTTTGTGAAAACATGGATATACAATTCCCTATGAATTTTTCCCCCAATTAAATCTCAGGGAAATTGCTCTTCCATTTTAATATGAACCTACAGTGATGACAGTTATTATATTAAAGATTTATGTCAGAGAAACCAAAAATATAATTCTTATCCTCTAGTTTTGCAGCTGGTAGAGTACTAGTTAATACAACTTAGTTTATACTCCCTTTTTGTTGAATGTGTTTGGGTTATCTGTAAGAATCAGTGCTACTCCTTTCTAAGACAATGGCCTACAAGGCTTAAAGAATATTAGCACTGGGAAGAATTCTAATAGCAATTTTTTGGCCTACTCAGCCAAACACAAATCAACAAGACTTTGTCTAAGTTAGGAGTGTCTTTCTCTAAATGCCCAGGTTAATATCTAATTGTCTCTACATGGTAGAAAATGGCAAGGTTGTCATGACAACTGGGTGGAAAGTTTAGTTAGAATAATGTTTTCTTTTAAAAGAATGAAGCAATTTCAAGCTCTTTAGCGCTATCTGGAATTATAAAAATTGCTTTATACCCCAATTTTTAGATTGCAGGAGGTGATTGATCTTTTTTTAAAACTGGTTTACAGATTTCCTTAACACCGTTTGTGAATCAGTGTTTTTGTTTTTTTCTTTTCTTTTCACCTTTTTTTTTGGTATAGGAATTCTACACTCTTGAATGAAGCAAATGGTCCTCTTGTTCATTAGTTCACTGGACCTTTAGCACCTGAATAAAATGAATACTTAGCTACAATTCATTTGATTGGTATATTGTAAAACTATCTCAGAAATAAATCTCTGATTACTAAATGAAGAGAAACAGTACTTTTGCTTTTCTACTTTGCAAGATAGAAAATGAGATATGTATCTTGAAATTTCCAAATGGATGCTCACTAGCAAGACAGAATAGCTTTGATCTTCAGAAAGGAACACACGATTCTCTTTCATTTGAATTTTTTTCTCTCTATTTTCAGTAAAATTTTCCGTCCTTTTTTTTTTTTTTTTTTTTTTTTTTTTTTTTGGCATGAACTCCCCTAGTTCCTCATGATTGTATAATTATTTCTACAAGGTTGCCTTTTGTCATTGTTTTTGTACATTCTGGAGAAATAATGGGCTGAGTGCTTTGGACAAATAATTAAAATTTGTATAAACTTTGTGGTGCATGAGGACAGCCAAAGAGAAGGGGTAATTCTCAGAGTAGCCATTTCTGGGGATACTGGACTCAAAGGGAGAGGAAATTCTTGTAAAAATTTTCCATGGATTTTGTTATCACTGTATTTATCTTTTCTATTTCGAGACTTAGCAGGGAAAGGCCCAGCAAATGAGAAATTGCTGAAAAGGGCAACAAGATTTCAGGAGAATAAAGTAGAAAGTACCAGAAAAGTTGGCTTACAGGATCTGGCCACCAAACTGAGATCTGGGGGCAGTGTCCACCACTCTTTGGATAGGAACTATTAAGATCATATCAAGGCTCAAGTTCCAAAATGACTGAGTTCTCTGGTGCTTATGTTCTGTCCACTCAGTAGGTCAAAACCAAGAACCTATAAAACATACTAATTTCCCCATTTTTCCTCATTTTTCATATCCAACCCTTTGCCAAACCTGTTTGCTCTGTCTTCAGTAAAAATCTTCAGTCAGCCTTTACAAATCACCATCTTCATTGACTAAGACTCTTACAACAGCAGCCTTAATTTTACTGTTTCTCCTCACGCATCCATCCTCTGCATAATAGCTAGAATATTATTTTTAAAACATAGTTCAAGTCATTTAATTCCCCCATTTAAATACATTCAGTAGCTTCCCTGTTGCACACGGAACACAAGCCAAACTCCATCATATGGGCAACAAAGCCATGCATGACCTTTTTGCTTTATAAATCTCTAACGTTGTCCTTAACCTCTTCCCTCTTGTTCACTATACTGATGACTATTCTCTATTCCTTTGTGTTCAGCAAACTGGGATGTTGCTATGCCAGCAGATGGGGCCAAGGAATCCAGCCTCACAGAGAAACACAGAACTATAGATTGGGAACAAGGCAGAACCTAAGCCAGAACTCCACCATGAATTCACTTTTATTCCCTCTCTCACCATCACTCCTGTTTTGTCTTTGTAATTATTCTGCTAATACTATGGAAGTATATAAGCCTGTGAAGTGATTTGAATACAGGGAAAGGATCCTTGTAGTTGGAAATCTGTACACAGAAAATAAATGGCCCAATCTAGAACTCTGTAGTCTCTACTGAATCTCATGCTAGAATCTTGGCAGTGTGTGTCACTAACTGAAGACATTTGATTTATAAAGACACATGCACACGTATGTTTAGTGCAGCACTGTTTACAATAGCAAAGACTTGGAACCAACCCAAATGCCTATCAATGATAGACTGGATAAAGAAAACATGGCACATATACACTGTGAAATACTATGCAGCCATAAAAAAGAATGAGTTCATGTCCTTTGCAGGGACATGGATGAAGCTGGAAACAATCCTCCTCAGCAAGCTAACACAGGAACAGAAAACCAAACACTGCATATTCTCACTCATAAGTGGGAGCTGAACAATGAGAACATATGGACACAAGGAGGGGAACATCACACACTGGGGCCTGTTGGGGGGTGGGGGAAAATGGGAGGGAGAGCATTAGGACAAATACCTGATGCATGCCGGGTTTAAAACCTAGATGATGGGTTGATAGGTGCAGCAAACCACCATGACACATGTACGCCTATGTAACAAACCTGCATATTCAGCATATGTATCCCAGAACTTAAAGTAAAATAAAATAAATAAATAATTTATAAACAAACAAACAAAAAAAGAAATTTGTCTCTCACTCAGTTTGAGTGGATCCAATGAAAGCACTGGAGATTAAGGCAAGAAAAACAGTGCCTGCAGCAATCAGGAAACAAAAGCAAACATCTCTCCACCCCACCTTGGGGCTGACAACAAAAGCCAGGAGGGCCCCTTTCCCTGCAGGCACCCTTCCTTTGAAGAAACAAGTGTAGAGTAGAGCAATTAGAAGAAGCACATGGAGAGCATTGCCAAGTGCCCCCCTCACTACCTTAATCAAAATATTTCCCTTTCACGAGAAGCTCATTTAGAGAAGACGTAATGAGCTGGTGTCACCTCGATTCTCCAAGGTTAGTCGTGCCATGTGAGCCCGCCAGCGTTTCATGCTCCAGTTTCAGCCTCCTCTTTCCTCATTGCCTAGAGTAGACAAGGCTGTCACTTGGAAGATGAAATATATTGGCAAATTAATTAACTTTGTCCAGCAACTGGAGAATTAGATTTCTGCTAAAGGTCTGAGTGATGGATTCTCAAGACATTGAAGGAATTAAATACCACTTTTTTTTTCTTTTTGCTTTTAGATCATATAGGTATCATTGTTTCACTCCTTTCATCTGTCTTCCATTTATTACCACATTTCACCTACAAAGCCAGTAGAATTTGCTTTGGCAGATGATGACTCTTGTGAGAATTTTTAATCTCTATAAACTCTTTATCAATTAATTACAAAACCAAGAAGCTAATAAATATTAGATTGAAGAAGAGTAGGAGGCAGCTGTATTAGAAGAGTACTTTGTAAAGATTTTCTTTCCTTGACTGGCTCTTTGTCCTGATTTTGAAATGCACGAGGAGGAGAGCAGTAGAATGTAAAATGAATACAGGAATTTACAGAATCATGGATAAACAATATAAGCCCTTTAAGGGATTTTTGCAATTAAAAACCTAAGGCAGAGAGAAAGCATTTATGATTCTCTCCTGACCAGTATGCCAGTATGGACACACAGTGTGTACTTTGTTGGATATGTTTATTTGTTCTCACTTTGGGTTTGGAACAATATATACAAAAGCACTGTTTTAATGATACTGACATGTACAGTCTTAGGGGGGTATTGCCCAAATGAAAACAGAGCAAGTTTGAAGGGAAAGTATTTTAAGGACATATTTACTCAGATTATGGTTAAAAATGAGCTCCTGAAACATCATCCTTTTTTCTCTCTTTTTGTTAAACATCACTTAGTGAATACACCAAAGAATCATAGCTATGCCTATTACCATAAATTCTTAATAATATATACTACAAATGAACAAGTAAGCGAAAACACAATAATTGAGAGACCACATCTAAATAGTGAATATGTACAGGTGACTCATTTATGAAAATACAACACACAATGGTTAGACATTGAGGGTAAAGAAGAAGAACTGTTCATTTAAATTATTTGTGTGTGTTCATTTTAGTTTAATTTTTAAAGGGTAGAATGCAAAGAAGGAATCATGGAATCAAACAACCTGCTAAAATAAAATTGAAATAGAAATTGAAGATGAGCAGTCCCTTTTTGATATGAGCCTCAGCAGAAAACAAGTCTTTTTTTTTTTTTTTTCTATTCTTATGAAGTCTTTATCAAATTTAAGGGATATCCAGCAGTTGAATCATTAAGATCAACTTCTTGGTATTATGTTAGTCAGTTATATCAGGAAAATGTTTAAACAGTCAAAGGAGCTATCTACTTCTTAATGATTCCCCAAAACAGAACTTAGGTAGATCTTGCAGCCTCGCCTGAGCTGAATAAAATGAGGCCACCCTAAGAAAAGTAAAGCTTTAAAGTCGCAGAGGGTGGTTATTTAGAGCAATGTTTCTCTGCGTTTGTGTGGAGAAATGCCTGAAAGGCAGCAGGAATGATGTGCGCTGAAAATGTCCCCTCTGGGATGACATATGACAATCCTATTCATACACTAAATATTTACTGCCGTCACTTTTTTTAAAAAAACAAACAAACCTCTTTTTGGTATTTGATTCTTATGATAACTTCTATTTAGCAAAATAATATTTTGTCTCACAAAAAACGATCTGAATTTTACCAGCTTGATATTTCAAAAGTTTTCGTTACAAAATGAATATATGTTTTGCTAAATAGGCCATTCCACCTAAGCATTTCAATAGTGTCAAGGAAGCCCTGAATTTTATATCATTACAGTCTATGATAGAGTGTAAATGTAATGATTTGTATGAATGCAGTCATTTGTAAATATCTCTCACTACGTGCTCTCTCGCTGGTAAGCAGATTTCTCTTCTTGCTCCCCGTCTACCATTACAGCTAAGCCATGAGGTTTAGTGGCCCTGGGAAATTAGAAGATAAAATTGGGGGAAGTTTCTTCCAGAGAAACAAAGAAAATGGAGAGATGGCCCCTTTGAGCCATTAGACTAAGGAAGATGGGCAAGTTGGCAGACTATGGAAGTGGCTTCTGACTTTCATGTGATGGAAAGGTTGCAGAGAAGACTAGACTCAGTAAAGCTTTGGTCCCTTTCTCTCACTTATTTGCCTGGAAAGAGAGAGCTGTCCTGGGACACCCTGATCCAGGTCAGGGTGGGCGGTTTATCTCTGGTGAAGGAGAGGAGCTAAAGAGATAATTCTGAGGCTGAGTTCTTGGTGCCCCACTCTTTCATGTGGTATGCAAGGGATCCAGATGTTTCTATGGGTTCTGTTAAATTGGCATGGGGGTGCGGAGAGGGTGGATAAAATATCAGAGGTCCAAGGTGGAAATAAAGAGGAAGCTGGCTAGAATGAGAGTCCAGCAGTCACTGTCAGCATATCACCCCCAAAGGCTTCATAGGACCGTAATACTTCTGTGGTCATCAGCCTGAAGCCCAGAACAGATGGAGGTTCCCACTATGAAATGAGCCCCATTACTGACTTTCAGGCCTCATTCCAAGATTTTCATCTACTTCAGTTGTATGAGCTCGTCTAGCCTCTTATCTTGGAGCCAGACACCATGTTAAGCAGCATCAGGAGAAGGTGGGATAAATGTGAAAATTAGCATTTATTTAAAGGATATCTAAATATGGAAAATACACTATATAGACTGAAGGAGACAAAGACATTGTTAATGGTTAAACAACGTCCTCTCCATTCCAACCTAACTTCGGTCTACTGAGCAAGTAGAAGACTGTGAGAAATAAAACAATTACAGAAAATTAAGACATTTCTTTTTGTCACCTCAGTGACAGTGTGTAAATTTCCAAACCAATTCCACACAATTGCACTAAAATATAAATACTAACTTATCCTTTCAATGGATACTTTTTTCTTTGAGTTCCTCCAACAGAGTCCCTTTCCTTGTAAGTTTTGAAAAGGTTGTCAACATTCCTTCATCACAATTCAGCAAAACACTAGCTGCTATGTCATGCTCGGGTATCAACAGCGGAACTTCTTTGCACTCTCCCTCCTTCTCTCTTCTGAATAACAGGAAGGGTAAGAGTCAGCAGCACACATTGGATTTAGAACTGAAAGTATCTTTGGTTCCCTGCTAAGACTTAACTATCTCCTAGGAACCACATCATCTTTTCATACGAGCTGTTATCATTTGTTCCTCCTCCTCTTTTTAATTTAGTCATGATTTTTGTTTCTCCTCCCCTCCCCCCAACTAAAGGCATAAACTTTAATGATGAAATTTCATGCTTAGTCAACTTCTTTATGGCCACTTAAGAAGCATCAATGAGGTTATAGGCCTGCTCTTGGGAGCACTGCTGTCTGTTTCTTATTATAGTGTGGGTGGCAGAGGGTAAAGAGTGGTCAAGCACTAAGCAGCAGGCGCTTCCCCACCTTGGTACTCTGTCGAGTACATCATATCCCCAGATACAAAAATGGGAGATAGTGACTTCCATGCTTCTGTTTTGGAGCCTGCAGCTAAAACTCCCCTATGTTTTTATTCACTATTCATTCAATCTAATACATAAACTTGCTTTGTTCTTTAAATGGTCCTTTATGCCCTCTACTCAATTTTTTAAGTGACTCAGTTTCAACATGCTGACATTTTTGACACAAGTGCTTCCCTCCCTGCATCTTTCTTTACAATTTCTTCTGCCCAAAACATAACATATCTCTATCTCTGATTTCTGAAACACTAGCACATCTTTTTTCATTTTCAGCTTAGTTCTTGAAGATAATATATGCAATAACCCTTTCATTCAGATGCAGAAACAAGTACAGCCCACATTCAAGTAGCATTTAACTAACTACAGAAGCTGATTTTTATATCACAAACTCAAATATTTGCATTTTAAATTTATTTTGCCTAGATTACATTCACTTATCAACTCTTGAAAGTTGCAGTGTATAAATATGCTAATTGCATTATGCTGCTAGTGCCATTAAGGTTTTAAGAGTAAAGAGATTGGGATTATGTTTTACTAATGGCTGCATGATCTTGAACAAGTCACTCAACCTCTGAGCCTAAGTTTCCTCTGGAAAACTAACAAACTATTACTTTTACCAATAGCTACTTTACAGGACAGTTGTAAGGGTTAAATGATAAAGGGTGCAAGTTCTTTGGCACAACAACAAAAACAACAAAATATATAGCAAGGCAGAGTCTTATTATTTTGCTCACTTAATTCTTAAAAAAGTAAGAAACAGCAAAGGCAGAATTACCAACTTCAAAATAAAAAACAATTATTTCTTCTGAGTAGTTATCAACCCAGGAATGTATTTTTCAGACTTTTATTTTTGCCTATGACCAGACCTGGCATCATTTTAATCAGAAGGCCTAAACCATATTTCTCTATTGATATAAAGTAATGAAAGATATCACATGAAGTGTTATAAATTTAGTATAATTGACATGCTCTGTAAGTTTCATGTGACATCTAGTAAATTCAATCAATTTGGAATGAAGTAACCACTCCCCAAAACATGCTTTGCTTTTTAAGATACAGAAACAGTATAAGGTAAGGTTTCCATTCTTAATGAGTCTATACTCTGTAGTATAGAGTGTGGTATAATCTCAAAGATCTTAGTGTTCTTTAAATGACCTATGTAATACTTGAGTCCTCTCTAGAATGGGACTCCTGATCCACTGTTCAGACAACGGTCAATTACCTCCAGTGAAAGGAACATTACTACTTCATAAGCAAATCTGATTCTCCCTTTTGCCTGGTCTGAATGAAAATTTTCCTTACATTAACTTTCCAAGCAGTATAAATACTACCATCATTAATTCTACCATCTTGAATTCTACCCTTTGTTTACACTATGGACTAAATGTTAACCTTAAGTTGAAGGCTAAATCTCCAATGTGATGGTTTTTGGAGGTGAGGCTTTTGGGAAGAAATTAGGTCATGAGCCCTTCTTATGAAGATATGAAGAGATCAGCACTCTCTGTCTCCACCCTGTAAAAATACAATGAGAAGTCAATCATCTGTAAACCAGGATGAGGGCCCTCACCAGGACCCATCCATGCTGGCAACCTGATCACAGACTTCCAGTCTACAGAACTGTGAGAATACATGTTTGTTGTTTAAGCCACCCAGTCTATACTATTCTGTTATAGCAGTCTGAACTGACTAAGAAAGTAGCTATTCACTTAAATCTTTTTGTTTGCGAAATGGATGGGTGAATGCATTAATTGTTCAAAGAAGAAAATGGGGAAGCTGGAATTTATCAGGGAGGGAAGGCTCAATAATCAACATAAGGCTTGATCTGGGCTTAAAAGAATGCCAAGGATTTAAATAATAATTAAAGAGGGGGAACAAAGCACACTCCAATAAGGGAATAACCCAGCCAAGGCTCAGAGGCAAAAAATGAGGGTGAGAGCCTCAGGGATTTTCTCTCAGGACTATTGGCAGTTTGAAAGGAGCTAACTGCAAAGATCAACACTTTTCTTAGGAGTGAGGACCAGATCTAACAATGGTAAAGAAGCAATACTTCTGCAAAATTTCACTTGGCTCACGCATCCTCCCCCTGAAAAAGAGGCGGAGGGGATTCCACATTTTTGGAAATCCAGAAATGCTTAAGAGAGAAATTTTCTGCTGTAGGGAGTAATTTCATATAATGCCACCTACTGAGATTTGTAGCAGCCTGGCATTTTTGCACACCAGGGGACAATTAGGTTGTATATCTGGGCTTATGATATTGATAAACTTAGCTAATGAGTCACAGGTGTGGTTGTGGTAGGCCAGGAAATCCAGATTTGCAAAGTTCCTGAGAACAGAGGTGGAGAAGTTACATCTTTGAAAACAGTTCTCATCCAATGAACAGTGCCGGAACTCAGAACGCTAGTGAATTTTCAGTAGCAGCGACCAACAGCTTTGTGTCTTATAAATTCAGGAAGAATTCACAGTGTCCAAAGAAATGTATGCATTTTAAAATTCAGAGCAAAACAAAATGCTTACTGATTCAAGGGGCAAAGAAGAGAATGCCTCAAATAAAATCAAATATGAGAATTGCATTCTTATTTTAACCCATGCTCTGTCATCCAAACCATTCTTGAATTGTTTTGGCAATTTGTTCACTCATCTCATAGAAGGCTTTCGAGTGAAATATTCCCTCCCCCGACCCCAGACCATGAAATGTGAGCCTTCTAAAGATATATAAAAATCTTATTAGGTTCAGAAGACTATTAAAACCAATCTTTTTGTCCTATGTACCCCCTACTTCTAAAACAAGTGGTGAAGAGTTAAAGTCCACAGGTTGACAGCTTGAAAAACTTGATGCAAAAATTGGATAGAATGGCTTATTGCACAAAGAAGATTTGAGAAAATAAATCTATCTCCATGTGATAAGTGCACTGCCATTCTTTCTAACTTTACTAGCCCTAATATTTTGGCTGTAGAATTAACCAATATCCTACTGTGATAAGGAGCTTCAAATTCTCTGGTGAGTTTTAATATACTGTAGAATGAAGAGATTCGTGTATTACAGCATATCAACATGAAATCTTTTTATTTGCTCATATGTGTTTGTTTTCCTTAGTATTTTTCCATTGGCACTAAAATATGTAAATATTGTCACACAACACTTAGTACCAAAAGACTATACCAGCAACAGTTGGTATTTCAAATTATTCAGGTTCTGTTTTGATTCCATAAAGTGGGGTTTAGTTTTTGACTGTGTTAGTAGATATGAAAATGATGGTAATAATAAGTTGTAATAACACAGAGGACATTCAATTAGGGGTAAGAAGACTGGTTTTCTAGTAAAAGTGGTCATTATTTAATGAGTGCTTACTATGTGCTAAGCACCATGTCATTTAAAACATTGCCTCATTTAATCCTCAAGACAAGCCTAAGAATTAGATACTGATATTGTCCTTATTTTACAAAAGAGGAAACCAACACTACCATGATTAAAATATAATTCATTTGAGGTCATCCAGCCAACGAAGAGTCGAAGCCATATCTCGACTCCAGGTAGTCAGACACCGATGCTCATATTTCACATCTTCAGTAGTCACTGAGTTTTGTCATTTGCTTACTGTATGTCTCTGTTAGTTATCCTTCCTGTGCCTCTGTTTCCTCATCTGTAAAATGGAAATAATAATAGCAGCCTTGCTCAGTTCATAATACTGTAGTGAAAAGCAAATGGCATTGTATATATGGAAGTATTTTGTCAAATCTAGAGCATAAAAGAGTTTTAACCCTGTTGCGGTTATTTCTCTAAAGTAAAACAAAGAGATTCTGCAAACTGCAAGTCTTCTCCCTGGATTAATTCTTAACATAGAACAATCTTCTAAGTTATCTCTCAAAGTCTATGGGTATGTGATATTATCCACTCATAAAGCAGGTAGCTGTGCTCACAGAGTGATTACTGGGCACCTCTTTCTGTGGCCTGAAGTTGTCCGAGATATTACAGGAGAGCTTAAGACAAATCTCAGGAAGGCTTAAGGCAAATATACAAGTGGCCTCTAAAAGCAAATAACAACTGGTATTCAACAGGTACTACAGGGATCTATTCATTGTGGAAATACTGAAATATTTCTGCATCAACTGACCAATAACTGCTGCCTTGAGCCCCCTAGGGCCTATGCCCCATCCTCATTTGTCTTCTTTGACTACCACAGCTCCTCCCCTGGGGCCTCCTGGACCTCACTGTGCTCCAGCAGCTAAACTAACCTTAGACACAGCAGAGGGGGGGCCTCCAGGACTCTGGGCTGTAACTATCTCTGTTTTGATTGGTTGGTACTCAATTCACTTTTGTTGCTAAATGTTCTCAATATAAACTCTGGAAGTACTCCTAATGAAAGTTACCATTTCAGACCTTATCATTCATACATTTGCATCTATTTATAAATTAAGGTTAGCAGATTCTTTTCATTGGCAGGGAAAAGAGTAGTTCTGCAAGTCTCTGGGCTCTCTCCCTCAGCACTTTCCGGAGCTCACCTCCCTGGAAGTGCATGAGCACACTGTATTGTATTTGTCTGTTTGCTTGTTGCTCCTCCTCCTTGTGGGCAGGAACAGTTTTTTTCCCAATGCCTAATACAGGGACTCCATCAGCAGTCATAGTGAGATAAAGCATATTGCTACTGGGACAAGAGAATGAGGAAGAAGAAGGGAAGACCAAGAACTGGTGGAAGTAGCAGATCTGTTAGTGTTTCCCATAGCTTAAGCTGGCCAACCTGTGTCAGAGGTGGGGCCCTTGATTTTCTGAACATTTTTAGGCATTCTACCCTCAATAATGCTCTGTGTTAGTATAGATTCAGTTGCTTCAGATGCATTGGAAACAAGACAGGGCTCAAAGTCACACAGAACTGAGTTTAGATTCTGTTCCCACTTAGGTGTGTGATCTCTGGTAAGAAACTGAAACTCACTGAGCTGCAACACCCTCCCCCAGCAATAAAAAATGAGATTGATGATATACACCTGACAATGTGAGAAAGAAATAGAAACAAAATGTGCAAAGAACTCTGAGTGTTGTCGAGTCTTCAATAAATGCTGGTCACCTTCCTTTTGTATGGCACTTTAGAATTTATACAGCATAAATCTGTGGGATTTTTGTTATAATAGTATAGGAAATTATCAGCAAGCAATTAAAATTTACAATTTTAAAGAGAGGAACCTGAGACTCATATGTAAAATAACTAATCCAAGATCATACAGCAGTAAGCAGAAGTGCCAAGGCTGGAGTAATGGTCTCCTGATGCCTGTTGGCGTGTTCTTTTGAGTCCATGGGACTCTCAATTTACAATGTATAGAGCCCTTTAAAAGAAAGTGGTAGGGTTATACTTCATTTGGACAACTAACACACCCTCCACAACCCCTCGTCTTGCTACATCTGGTGGTGTGGCGGAAAAGGCATAGGATGCAAAAGCAACTAACATGGTTGGAGGGTACACTCTCCTTGCTATTTTGTGTTTCCGGGCCTATTGTTTTTCTTCTTTAGATCTTTATTTTCTAACCAGTTAAATGGATATGTTTTTAGGTTTAAGTGGCATTATCCAAGAGCTTTGTAAACTCTGAATAGCTACCTACGTGTCTGGGATACCACCACTATCACCACATAAAACACAGAGTACATTCTTCCAAAGACACAGGCTTTTGCTTCATTGGGCATTAAGTTTCATAATAAAGATGTAGGCCTTTTGTGGCCTGTCACTTTCACCTCTGGTTCTAATGGGCAAGATTGAAGGACATTATGAATTGCTTTTATTTTCCTAGAAAATAATTACTTTAAGAATATTATCATGCTTTCTCTTTACTAGAAGTTCCAAAGTGGTCTAGAAGAGACTCTGAGATTGCAAATATGCAACCTGTTATATGGGAGATACATGCCAGTTGGGTTATTCATCATAAATTTTTATGTTGTGTTACTGTAGCTGCTGAACAGCTGTTGTGCTGTATCCTGGTGGCTGCATTCCAATGGTGGGCAAAGAGGCTTCTAAGTCTGCTAAATGTGCTCTACGGTAATTGCTAATTCAGTGTATTTAGCTCCACTAGGATTGGAGGCATTAAGAAAATACACATAGGGAAGCAAGTTGCCATGAGCCAATGCTCTGATTTTTGAGGAAAAAGGGGATCTTATGAAGCAGTTGCTTTCTAATTTCACTAGAATTTAATTCAGATCATTTCGTTTCAGCAAAGCACTATGCTAGGTGGTAGATGAGGCAAAACAAAAACACCCCACTCTTTCCTGTCCTGGCAGCATGTTTATTTCAGTGGAGAAGACAGAAACAGACTAACATAATTCCTCCACAGGACCTGGATCTGACTGACCAAAGTAGGACAAAACCATATTTTGATGTGGCCTTGAACACAACCCCTTGGTGTATTTGCCTGGTTATATGAAAATCATTATACTTTCCTTTTGTAGCAGACACTGTAGTCACCCCACTCATACATAGCTCCTTAGCCTACCTTGCAAGACATTAGTGGCTTCCATGACCAGTTTCCTGACATCAAGCACCTGTGTTCTCTGCCTCTCTTTCCTGGCCATAGGAATGCTCTTCTTGTACATGGAGCAGAATGACAGTGCAGGGAAGCTAATGCTTCCAGGAGTAACCTTCAACCAAGGAAAGATATGAGTTTGTGGATAAATACTTCACTTTCTTGTCTCGTGGCAGGAAAATTCTGAGGTATAGTCTACATAGTCTTTCAGAGAGTACCCAGCAAGATTGGGCCACCATTGCTCACAGTGCTCAGGATTTTATTAATGCACCCTTTATTGGCTTGCATCTGAATGCTTTTCTCACTGATTTGGGAGGAACTCAAACTAAGACTTATTTATTATCTTGAGATAATTTTGTTTGAGAATTTTAGCCAATGTACAAAGAATCCACAGATCTTCAATAAGATACCATTCTGTATTTTTTCTGGTTTCCAACCTCCTCAAGTATACTATATACATTCTAGGTCTAGATGTTGAGTGCTGTGCCTCAGTTTATGCTGCTCCTTTGACAGCAATGACTTCCTTTGTACCATAAAATTGGATGCAACCACTAAAAGTGGTCCCCCTAATATCCTAGATTTAACCCTATCACTTTATCTCACTTTGTGTTCCAACTCGTACCTGGCATCCCTATCTCTGCACTGCTCACTAGACACTATTCTAAATATAGTTTGTTTTTTTGGCACAGATCTTTGGTTTATAACTCCTCTCCTCTGCTAAAACATCAATTTTCTCTTCAAATTATTTCCAACTCTGGTCATTACAGGGAACACTCCAGCCCAAACCAGAACTTTCTTAAATCTCTGCATAGGAAACATTTCAAAGGTCTTTGCTGTGTTGCATTCCCCAGGCTTCTGCAACTGGGCAGGGCTGTTCTGCTCAACATTTGCTATTCATAATGTAAGGGGAAATTATGCTCCAGTAATTGATATGTAAGCTGTGGGAAAAAATGGGCAAGCATGTAATTTATCGAGAATCAGAGAATTTCTAAAACTGGTTTGTGAGGGTGCTTTCTTTAAAAAAGTGACTGAATAAAGGAATTGTTTAGTCAGAGATTAGCAACACTAGATAGGAATTATCTGGCAGGCAACAGAATTAGGAAAGCAGAGACTAAGAGATCAGACAGGCAGAATAAAGAAGAGCAGACCTCTATTAAGGCAGAAGGGGGAAAATAATGACGTCCTGGTGAAAGGATGGGCAGCTATCAAAAAAGGAAATAAAATATCCTGAGGACCAGGATACAAAATAATACACATATCATCCGTGATTTTCTTTTTCATTGTCTCTTCTTACAGCCTTATGTCATAGATACTAGAATCTCCACTTTGCAGATGGCGAAAGAAACTCAAATTACTCACTTGTGTGCAGATAGTGACAGTCAGGATCTACATAACTATTTGATGCTGTAGTCAAGTCTCTTTTCTTCATATCACACTTTAAGCAGAGTTCAAAATCCAATCAAAAAGATGAACCAGTTACAGGTCTCTGCAATCAGAGGCACGTATCTGTCCTCTGACAGAAGTGGGCTAATGTGAGTGTAAGCGCCTAGAGCCCACAGACTTAAAAAGGCAGGCAGAAGCACCTGAAGAAGTGAATGCCTGTTGGTTCTGAGAGATGGGGAGGACAAAGACAAAAAAATTACATCCTCCGAATCTAGAAGACTCAAAATTGTGCCACCCATCCTTTCTATCACCCCTGTCCCCACCATTCAAGGTATCCATGCTGAAACCAGTATTACTTACAGCATTAAAAAAAAAAGTTAAAGGGCTTATTGGCAGTGAAACCTCCACCTTCTCACATGATGATAAGCCCTGTTGGGTGAGAAAATGCTGAGGCAACAGGGTTAGCATTCAGGAAGACTCCTATGAGTCCAGGTAAGTGGGCATGAAAGTGGCATATCAGCATATGAACTCCATTCAGTGAGAGCAAATGTAAGGTAATATGTTTTGGGGGAAATAATCCACACTACAAGATTATGGGCTCCAAGCTATCATTAACAATCCGGAAACTATGAGTGCATTATGCACTGAAGGTAATGGCTGAAAATGCTGCCAGAGCCAAGAGACCTATGAAATGCTGTGCTTCCTCATGGAGTTTTGTATAAACAGAACAAAAAGCATTGACCATACTTGCACTGGAAACAAAACAAAACAAAACATGGTACAACAGCACCTGAGTGCATCATGCATTTGCTCATCCCTCTCCAGCATACGGAATGAAGCTGGACAAGATCCAGACTAATTATCATGGTCAGGAAGGAAGGTTTCCCCTAAAAATCAGGAGATTACGAATTGTCCGTTTCATGGGAAGGCAGCTACACAAAGAGATGGTGAAAATGTACTCTTTTTCTTACATTATATTTAAATAATAACTTGAGGTGGATATTTTTAGCATCTGAAAATTCCACATCATCTACAAGTGTTTTAAACTTAGAGTACTGCCCAGAGCATCACATCTTGTAAAGTCCAGACTTTCACCCTTTATCCACACATTGATGTATTTGTTCCTGAATCCAAAAACCACGTGCTAACTGCTCGTTTGTGCCAAGAACTGATTAGGGGTTAAGATGAGGTGTTGGGATACAGAGATAGATAGGCTCTTCTCTCAGAGAGTTTAACATATTTAAGGAATAAAGCAAGAACATCTGTAATATGTATATATATATATATAATATCTGTTATATAGTGTGATGATTCCCATTAATTGAAGACTGTCCCCAAATCATGATGGCTGGTGAGAAATATGTCCTGAATTAATTCTGGGGAGGGTATAATAAAATGTGTTTTCTGTTATGTGACCTTGTAATGCTATCCTTTTTATATTTCCTTTGCAATTGCACACTGACTTAATCTAAGAGGAATAATAAAAATAGTGAATAGTAGATTCAAGCAGCATTAAAACTGAGCATTTAGCATGCCAAAACACTTTTTTCAAAGCTATTAATATGGTGATTCCCTATTTTCTAGACTCTTACACATATAAACTCATATTTTGCATACTCCTTTCCTTTCCTTTCCTGGTAAAGGCTTATCATAATATATAGCATTTATTTTTAAAATGCATAGTGCATTTTTTCTCGGAGCTTATAATACTAGAGTTTTTTGGGCTTCTGAGTGCTTAATTTCTCAACTTTGACCTTGTATCAACATGAGATGTAGAATTTAATAGTATATTGCATTATTTATATGCTCTTCATCACTACGGATCCAATCATGCTTTATTAACTACAGGGACTGCACTAGATAGAACATAATTTCTTTAAACAGCAGTGGTAGGCATCCTAGAAACTGTATCTCAACAACAAAGTTAAAATCTTTCATAGGCAAGACAAATTAGTAAGATCTGATAGGAAAAATTCCAGGACTGATCTAGCAGGCTTTCTTTGTAATGCACATGCTACACCAAATGTCTATTTTAGTGTAGGCAAAGGCAAAGTTCAACAAAGGGTCCATAAAGTTGTTGTTCAAATTAAATTGTACAGGTCAGCACTTTAATAAACCATAAACAAATATAGTTAAAATGATATGGGAGATACATAGGCATTAACTTCTAATCGTTCTTAAAATGTCTGCATTATTTTTATGTCAACAAATTAAGAGATAAAGAAACCATCTCCATTAAATTAATAACATTGAGGAAAACATTTCTGAAGATATTGCGACAATTAATTTTTAGGAGAATTTGGACCACTTGTGTCATTTAGATAAAATAATTCAGATTCATATTTTGTTGTTGTCCTCTTTTTTCACTATAAATTTCCCTGCAGTAGGTTTAAATATCAGAGGTCAAGTGGTTGTTATCCTCCTGGATTTGGAAACAGAATGTCTCTTTTTTATTTCTTGAGTAGCCATCTTACCACACTAGCAGCTTCACCTTGCACCCTAATATATTCAAGTCAAACTTGCCTTTAAAATGCATGAGAGCCAACCTTCACTTGTACTGAATTTTTTATCCTTTGATTTCTCATAAGATTATTACTTCACAATGTCAAAAAACCTGAAAGGTTTAGGTTGAATGTCCAAACTCAAAGGCACCGGTGCTAAGTTTGATCCTGAAACCCCAAAATCAAAGGCCTTCCCCATTTCAGCCACACATTTTGCCTGTTGCTTTACAACAATAGAAGTAGCAATTAGTAGAACCTGGCTTTATCCTTTTCCAGCCAAGTTGCAAAAGTTTGACTGTGAGATGACTAAAAAAATAATGACACAGATGCATTTTATACTCATGTACATTAAATTGTATGTTTATGAAGTCACTTTCTCCCAAATGATGGCTGTTTCTCAGTCTCTTTGGGTGGCCCCACAATGTTTCCACAGAGCACAAAGCATTTCAGGGCTTCCTTTTGGGAACTGTCTTCCAAGTTGCTTTATGAACAGGCAAGGACATCAAGATTATTCGTGTGTCAGAGGACATGCTTCTTTGATTTTCTCCCTTTTCTCTGTTCTTCTCCCTAGCTCTTTTCTTTGCTTCCTGCTCAAACTGAAGGAATTCAGAGGATCCTTAAAGAAGTGCTGAACTGGGGACTGTCTTGAAGCAGAAAGTAAACGAGAATAGAAATTGTATCTAGTACAAGTCACCAAGATCAAATATTGCTAGTAAATTCCTCCAAAAGAGAAAATAAAGAGTTTGGACCTTACAGAAAAAAAGTAATTGCCTAATTTTACTGAGATAAATTAGATCAGCTAAATCTAATATCTGACTATTATAAAACTGACAAGCCATTGGACTATTGAAAAAGCTCATTTAAATGTTGTGCTTATTTAACATGCCTCATAGAATATACTCTGTGTGTATAATTTTTAGCCTTGTCTCCAAAGTCAACATTAAGAAAATCTAACAAAAATGTGTATTTCATATAAATACATTGTTTTATTTTTCTAGTTTTATAATTAACCCACATGACATAATTAGTTGAAGGAAATATATGAAAGCAAAACAAACAGAAGCAATATTGTTATGGGGGTACTACAGATATGAGAATATAATAGATGTTTTTCTAACAGAGATTATAGGACAAAGGCAAAATAGAACGATACAAAATTGCAATTACCTGTATGTACTTCTGTGGAAAATCTCATTGTACCAAAAGTGGAATATCAAATAAATTCTTTACAAGAGCTGATGAAGATAGAGGAAGGACAAGTGTAGAAAGTGCTCTAATGCATTTGATCTTAATGCCCATTAGGCATCTTTATGGGTTAATAAGGTAGTTCTTAGGCCAGGTGCAGCGGCTTAGGCTGGGTGCAGTGGCTCACATCTGTAATTCCAGCACTTTGGGAGGCTGATGGGGACGGATCACCTGAGGTCAGGAGTTTGAGATGAGACCCCATCTCTACTAAAAATACAAAAACTAGCCAGACATGGTGGTGCATGCCTGTAATCCCAGCTACTTGGGAGGCTGAGGCAGGAGAATCATTTGAACCCAGGAGGTGGAGTTTGCGGTGAGCCGAGATCACACCACTGCACCCCAGCCTGGGCGACAGAGTGAGACTCAATCTAAAAATAAATAAATAAATACATATATAAGTAAGTAAATAAATACATATATAAGTAAGTAAATAAATAAATAAGGTAGTTCTTAGAACAGACATGAGAATATTCCATCTGCTCACTGAATTCACAAAAGCTGTATATGATGGTTTTATTGTGACCAACAAGAAACTGAATTCAGCTGGAAAAAAATGGAAATTTTAGGAGAAAGTGCCATTGTGATTTTGTAATTGAAGAAGAAAAGAATGCAAAGAAATTTTATTTCACTTTGTTTCATTTTTTAAAATTTATTTTATAACTTTCCTCATTACAAAAAGAATTTGTGGTGATTTGCAAAGATACAGACATAGCAAGTAAGGGTGACTATAAGCCCAAAGTGAAGTTAATACCAAAATGCGTGGCATGAATTCCTATATAACATACTTTACAGATGAAGTCACAAATTTTTATTTTCATTTTCTTTAAGGGGAAAGTAGGATTAGTTACAAGACTTTCAGGAAAATCGTAGCTCATCCAGATACATAATACAAAAGTCATTTATAGTGGGGACATACAACTATGACAACAATCTCAACAATATATGTACAAAGAATAAGTGAAACGATCAATTTTATAAGAATGTTTCCTGTCTTGTGATGTCCCTTATAGGACCTGATATTATATCAAAATAAAAATCAGTTACAGAAATATTCTGTAGTTTGATCCATTGTGAAATGATTACTTCTCTCTGTTGAACCTCTAAAGCTATCCAGGGACAATGAGTTTGAACTTACATTCCATTAAAGGAGGGGAAGTTTTTTCTGTTCCTACATATGTATGAGGTTGTATAGGGTGTAACAAGTAGGACAGTTGAGGGACACATTAACATTCATTAAAAATTGAGGAACCTGAAAAGGGAGCATCCTGAATAACTGCCCCCATGTTTCTATCAGAGGTAAAGCTGTACTCACACACCAACTAAGTTCCCAAGAAAGTTAATCTTGTATAGGATATTTAGCATAGAGTATTCCATTCACCCAAAAATCATAATTGTTTTAAATAATTGGAGCCAACGAAGATGAGAAATTGTAGAAATTAACTTTGAATCATTATTTCCAGAAAAGAGTATGATTAATGCAATTCACATGAAACTCTCTTGATCATATTTTTAAAGTCATGCAATAAAAGATGAAAAGAAAGACATGAAGACAGATATCATATGTGCTTTGAACATGTAAACATAGTGTCAAGAAAGCTTAAGGCAAGAAGCTTCAGGTTGGTAAAATGTCCTGAAATCAATAAGAAATAGGGCTTATATTTTTAAGGTTTATTCAGAAAATCTTGTAGCTTAGCGAAGATAGTGACCCAGCAACAAAAGAAAAAGGGAAGCCAAGATTTTTAACTCCAGGGTTTCATCCATTTTCGCTAGTAAGAAACTAAATCTTCCCAGTAGAAAGGGTAGAATAAACATTGTAAAAACAAATTAAAGTTCTGGCAGATGAGTTGGTAGTAAATTATTATCTGGGCAATTTAAATGTCTTCAAATTTCCAGGTCCAGAAAGACTTTATTGCAAGAATGGAGAAGAACGGGCACTAAATCATAGAGATTAAAGTGGGACAAAAATCTCAATTTTAAGAAATGGGAAAAATTAAGGATCAGCGAACTTAATGATGATTTCTAGCCAAATTCTAAAATGAACTGGAAGATAGATTGGTTATGTGAGTTTATTAAGAATTTATTTCTAGTGATGCAACTAAACTTATTTTTGTTTTCCATAAAGCAGCAAATCTGAAGTCTTTAGATATTTTTTATCTTTTTTTTCACTCAATCACGTGATAAAGTATACAGGAAATACAAAGAGATTATAGTCTGGATACTAGTTCACTGTCACTCATGACTCATAGATGTCAAATTAATTGAAACATTTAACACCTTTCTCCCCCTAAAAAATTACATTGCTTAATGGTGAAATACACACTGAAGGTATGTTTTCCAAGATGTGCCATAGAACATCTATGTCTATATCGATACATACATATGTACATGTATATATACATCAATGTCCATGTCTACGTCTCTACGTATCAATGGGCTGAATGTAAACAAAGAAAGAATGCTTTTGAAATCTGTAGGTAACACCAAACTGAATGGATGACAGAATTAGAATTCAAAGTGGTCCTAACATATGAAATCATTAACTTTTTTCATTTATTCGTCAAACACATATTGGAACTCTCAATTTGACAGCCTGTTATGTACCACTATAAGCATGTGGATACAAAGGCAAAAAAGCCATTCCTCAATATGCACAGAGTCTGGAGAGACAGATGAGCATTAAATCAGAAACAACACAAATGGCGAAGTGATATAGCAGGGGAGAGAAAAGGTGCCCTGGGAGCCGAGGAGAGGAAGTGTCTGTCTCTGCCTGGGGTAGAGGGAAAGACGATTGGGACTGTATCACTAAAGAAGTTAGTCTCACACCAAATAGTGTTAATAAATAACCAGAAAAAGAGAGCTGAGATGAGGGAAGCTTACACAGAAAAGTCCTAGTGGTCAAAGTTGAACATAGCCTCAAAAAACGCCAATAATGTATTTTGCCTGAGATTTTTAAAAAATTCTAACAATTTCAAAATTTTTAATAGAAATACTGCCCCTAAAGGATGGAAGAAAGGGAAGCCCTTGCTGCACTTTTTGACCCTTTTTGACACCAGTTCTCCATAGAAAGTAGCTAGATGCAGCAACATGATTATAATGTGTTTTACAGATTCCAACAAAGGGAAAATCTCTCACAGCTGAAATGTACCTTTGTCACCTTTTTTATTTCTACAAAAGGGGTGTGCAATGTTTTGTAATAAAAACTCATCCCCAAAAAATGTTTTCTATTAAACAGATATTTTTTAAATGTCTAAACAAAACAAAACAAATATAAAATATTTTCTTTTGCTTTCAAATCTTTTTTTTTCTTTTTCCTAGAATCTTCCCGTGTAATGAACACAGCCCTCATTAGAGAAAGCATTCCTTCCAAAACTAAATTAACTTTTTCTTGAAAAGTTTGCAGTATGTAAGTCTCAGAATTGAAGAAAAACATATTTTACATAACTAAATTTGGTTTTCACTAAGTTAAAAAAAATTGAGTTTTAAACAACCAGGGAAGAAGATTAAAATTATACACAAACAGATAAATCATAGTGTCTGAATGATTACTTTTAGAAATCCAAATATAGACACACACACACCCCTCTAGAAATATAGATTTAGTACTCAATAACGTGGTCACATCAGCTAACAACAGGCTGCTTTTCAGGGAGATCTCTCAAAGATATGGCTATTCAGATAAAAAGAGTCTCCAAACTAAATTTTAAAAAACTGTCTCATTTTCCTTTTAAAGTGTTCTGGTTTTCTTTGAAAGCAGAGCATCCCAAGTTGCCTAGGTAACATGATAGTTGACTGTGGTAGCAACAAGCACATTCGGAATGGATCTATACTCCAGGTGACATGGTTAGGATGTTGTGAGTGTTGTGCCAACTCAGCATATAGCAATCCCTTATTTGGAGAGAATAATCTATTGTCTTGTAAATTAAACTGTTGAATTAGTCAGGATGAATCTCTGGATATAAACAATTCAGACTGTCGAAATAAACTTCATTTGTTTAACTGCAACTCATGTGGGTGGCTGGGAAATGGAATCTAAAGCATTAACATCTGCTAAATTTGTGTAAAACATAGCAAACAAGAATCACATTAAACCCAAGTAAATCGGTAAGTGACTTATTTATAGAAATATCTAATATTTACTATTAGGCTTTTTCATTCCTTTGGTTGAAATTCAGCTCTAAAATAGACAAAACCTATGCCGATAATAAGGGTAGTAAAGGAATGGAACAATTATTCTCAGCTAATTTATGATATTAAAATTAGTCTTATTGAAGGATACCATGCATAAAGACATAACTACAGTGTAGGCTGCTAGCAACATTGTCAAATATATGCTAGGCTTAAACTGGTGAAAAGATAGTTTCTAGGAAGTGACTTGCAACTATAATTGAAATATACCTTGATAAGCATTACTATTGTTTTGAAGCCACCACCTTAAAGGAGATAGGAGCTAGGATGAGCCTCTTTGTTGACTGGACATTAGAGCTGGATCCACAGATCTAGGAGTTGAAGCAGAATGAGTCTAACTCATTAGCATGTAGGCCTAATGGAATGTCTTAGAAGTCTAAGCTATAATTCATTTGCTTGAAGTGCAAAGGTTAATGCAATGATGCCTTGTGTGTTTTATGGCTGTTACAGCTGGGAGAGTAGTTACCAACAGCTGTCTGTTAGCTTTAGCAATTATTTAGTCTAGGAAGACCAATCCTGCTTATTTAGCCCTGTTCTGTATGTATACCCACACACTCGATGCTTAACTAACAGGGTACACATAATATTTGTATAATATCTTTTCATATTTATGTATAAACTATATTTGTGTGCTCTGTATAAAATACATGTTATATTTATGTGTGTGTATGTATACACACACACATTTGCCTGCCCTGCTCTTGTTTTCTTGGTTCCAGGTGTTCTAAAATTCTTGGAATTGCCATTACCTAGTAGGATGTTATCATTAGCAGGAGTTTCAAGGTAGGAAACACCCTCATGACATTTGGTATTAGAAGAAGATGCAAGGGGAAAGGGGGTAGCCCAGACACCTCCCGATGGTCTGCCTGTAGTTTTCCTGTAATTACTATTAGCACTTGGGGAGAACTAGGTAAAGAGATCCACTCGAGGAGGCAGATTCTCTGACTTCAGCTTTTCCCTTGATCAAATAGAGGCAGAAGTGACTGGATGATTTCTAAGGCATTTTTCAGTATTAAAAAACAATACCTGTCAGGGTCAAACCACAGCACACAGTGGCATCATGGTTTTCAGGCAGCTGCTAGAAACTAATGACCAAGAAAACATCGTGCCTGGGAGTCAGGGCATAAGTATTCTAACATCTGGATAAGAGGCCAAGAGCAGAAGAACCCAGGCAGAGAGAGCTGCGTATTTATCAGAAAAATCCAGTAACATGACAGGGGTGCATGCAGAAGGATCTCAGATGCGTGCATATGTTCAGTTTTCTTAATTCCCACGTCCTAACTCCTTAACTGCAAGCTAAAGGGAAGAACTATTTCTTGAACTAGAGCAATCAGGTATTAGTCAGGATCCATCTATTTCATTCTCCTTTCACTTCAAACTGACAACAATCTCCGTATGATGGGAGGCTAACTGCCCGGTGCCTTAGTTTTCCTCATACATAAAGAGGGAACAATGCAATGGTTTAATTAATATTTGTGATTATGGAGGAAATGAACTTGAACAGAATAAAATACAATTAAGCACATGGTAATCTTTCTTAAGGTGACTAGAGGGTCTCAATTAATTGTATTTTTCTCATAGAATATAAAAGTATAAATCTTTTACCTCTTATGCTTGGTGTGGGGATGGTAGGTAGAAAGATTTCTACAAAAAAACCCCAAAACTAAACAACAACAAAGCGTAGATATCAAGCAGAAATTTAATGTTCTTAAAAATTCTTTAGTCATGATTTATCAAAACAGAAACTACAGAGGAGGAAGCCAGATGTTACAGTGTGCCTTTTCTTTCATTTCCTTCTCCTGCTAGCTGTATCCCACTCTATTAATACATATTTAATAGGAACATCACTTCAGAATTTTCTAAGAAAAAAATGTGAGAAGGAACATTTTTTTAACATAGCCCAGTGCAGTTGTCAAATTATGGACTCCAGAGTCTGGCAGCTTGGGTTCAATTTGTGGCTCTGCATTTCCCGGTGTTGTGACCTTGGGCAGGTTAATTAACCTGTGTGTGTGCCTCAGCTTTCTAATCAATAGGAGGAAATAATAGATTTACCTCATGAGTTGTCATTAGGACTTAAGGAATGAAAACAGGTAAAGGACTTAGAGCAGTATCTAGCACACAGTAAAAACTCAATAAATATTAGCTACCATTGTATTAATATTCTTTCTTTCATTCCTTCTGATACGGAAAGGAGGCAGGGAAATACCGAGTAGAAGAGGGCGGTTCGCCGGTAAAGACCCCACCCACCAGCCTGGGCCTACAGCCCTAAATGAGAACTTCACATCCTTGTTTTCCTGCCCGGATGTTGCTTTTTCCAAAACCACGCTGACCCGCCATGCCCCCATCCTTCACCCATAATCTCCCCAAATCCACTGGCAGGGGAGCAGAGCAGTGCAGCAGAGAAGCAGAGAAAAGAAGTGTCTGAATGTCGAAGAGGAAGCTGGACGGTGGGAAAGAAGTTTGGCCAGGGACAGCCGAACTCCAGGGGAAGATTATTTTCACACTCCATCCCCTTCCAGCTCCGCATCCCACTGAGAGCCGCCTCCATCACACAATAAAACCTCTGCATTCATCATCCTTGCAGTCCATGTGACCTGATTCTTCCTGGACACCAGACAAGGACCCGGGTACCAAGAGGGCAGGGTGTAAAAGGCTGTCACCCTGACTCTCCACTGAGCTGTTTCACATTTAGCTGTCCACGGGCAGCAACTGCTGAAAGAGCATTAACTGTAACACACCCTTAGATGCTACTGTGGGGCTGAAGCTCAAAAGCGCTCGCCCCGGCCCTGGCAGCCACTTGCCTGTGTGCTCCTGCTCCCACAAGGGTTTTGAGCACATGGCCGAGTAAACAGCCACTCGGCCACACCCCTGTCGCAAGTTCCATGAACGGGGCCAGGGAACTCTCCTATCTCACTTCTACATCTCTATTCCCTGCTCTACTTTTTATTTCCATTAACATGTTCTAATTGCTCAAAAGAGGGCTAGGGTTTGTGGGGGGTGGGGAGGGGGGAAGAAAACTTTGCTGTCTTACAATTTGCTTCTTTTAATGATAGTTCCTATATTAATCATAAAAATTGTTGACACTTCTATGGGAATTAGAGGCAAAATGACAGAACAAAGTCTACCTGTGCATGTGCCTACATGTGCACACCCACCCCCATGGAGTAAAAATGAAACCTAATGGGGCCTAGAAGAGAAAAGAGAAGACATTATCTTCAAATATCATTTAGGGAATTGAAGAATAATACAGTTTTATAATAATATTTTACATGAACAAATTTCCCCTCTTTTGAGAAGAGCTTAATGTGCTTAATTTGCTTTTCATTTATATTAATCATTTCTTGTCTCTATTAAAGCACTTATCACATTGTATTGCAATTTATCTATTTATACGTCTATCTTCCCTACTAGACCATGAAATCCTTGAAGACAGAGGCTCAATATGATTCATCTTTCTAACCTCAGGTCTAATATAGTGCCCCAGAAAATCACAGATACTCAATTAATATTTCTTGAATAAACAAATAAATGAATAAACTCCTCTATCATATTGTTGGTTTAATTAGTTTCCATTATAGATAGTTCAAATTACATATGCTTTAAGCAGGCCTATAAACTTACAAAAATCTACATTTGTAATTTAAGCAGATGCAGTGTTCCACAAAAGAATGCTTTTTAAAAGAATCTGGTCATAGGTTGTTGAAATACGAAACTTCTTGGTAGCCCAAATTTTGGACTTGGTAGTTCAAAGTTTTTGAGGAAAATTGGCCATGTCATTAAGAGATAATATCTTACCCTCTTTGGGCCAGGTCAGACGGTAACAACAGGAGTTTTATTCCTGCTGTTCTTTCACCCTACACACATACCCCATTTGCAGATCTGTCTCTATTGGGTTGGTCTCGTTCTCTCCCAAACAGGGACTCTGGTCCTGAGAAAGTATTACTAAAAAGTGCCATTCTCAGAAGGGGTAGTTCAGGAACAGTGTCAGTTTGAACCTAGTTTTTCTTGCTCTAGAATTTCTGCCTGTATTTTGACCCCCTTTTACTTGGACCCTTATGGTCCCCCCGCCTCCCTTGGCCTAGAGTATTTAGGTCTCCAAGCCTGTCCTGTGTTTCTGATCTTTGATTTTCCTGAGAATGGCCTAGTCTCTTTTTGCTCTATACTTGAACTGGCGTCTCAGATTGTAAGATCATACAATGGTTACACTGGATAAGAGCTTAAGAGTCAAACAGATGAGGAATGTAAGGACTAGAGAAGTGCAGTGACCTACCCTAGGGTAACTCAGCAACTTAGTGTCAGTGCCAGAGCTGGAGCTAAGCTCCCTTGTTTTCGTCTCCAGACCTTTCCCATTATATCATGAGGATCTGGTTAACTTGTTCATAAGAATGTTAAAACTGAAGGCTCTACTTCTTCACCTGGCTTACATTGTAGGTCCTGATTGACTTCTTATCATAATTTCAAGGATTCAGGCTAATTAGAACTTTCATATCAGTTCCACTCTCTTGGTTTTTATCAACAGCTGGGCCTGCTCTTTTTCTGTCTTTTCTAGCTACACTTTGGAAGACTTGGCACTGAGAAAATTCATGTGGTTACTACACACTGCCTTAAGACATTACAGAGTCCCCCAGGCTTCAGGGGAGAGGCCAGAACATGCACAACCAGCAGATGCAATCTTTCAACAAATGCTCGCATGCAGACTATGGACCACTGACTGGATGCATGTAAAGAGATTTCTCATAGAAACTTATATCCTCTTTTCTTTCATTTCTGATCAGAAAATCTCCTTGATTTTCTATATTTACTTGAATGACTTGCCTAGTTTGAAGCTTTAATATTCCAAATCTCATCCTCTGTCAGTAATTTCTGTAATTATTCCTTGCTTTTTCTTGATCTACTCTCTATTGTTGTGTTTTTCAAACCATGTATTGTGACATATTAGCAGGTTGTGAAATCAATTTAGTGAGTTTCAATAATTTAAAAAATCAATAGAAAAGAAGGAGAAAATAGAATAGATCATGCATAGAAAGGTAAACATCGCCTTGGGAAACTTTTAAATATAGATATAACCTATATCTGAGTATGAATAGATGTATGTGTGTATCTCGATAATAAGTAGAATCTATTTTTTTTTTTTTGGTAGATCATGATCAAAATCACTTCAAAGCCATTGACCTAGACTGTATTTACTTCTAATGAGAAGATATGAAGTTGGGATGTTATTTTTCTTAGGAATTGTTCAGTGATTTTCATTCTCAACTTGTAAAATCAAGTGTATTTTCAGAAACGGGAGGAGGAAAACAGGCTCACAATAACCGCTTTAGCTCTGGGTTGCACAGAAAGTGTGCAATCAGATTTCTAATGCTATTCCGGTGAACTGAAAGTCTAAATCAATTTTTAAAGATATGATTTATATGCAAATTTTCAGAACACCAGGTACTGTATAAAAGAAGGTGCATGTATTCTCTCGCCACCTTCAGTTAACACCGCAGATCAGTCAATTCCTAGCTCTCTACGGTGCTTTTCTTCTTTGCATATTGTTCTGCTACTCTTTTACTACATTAAAATCTTAAAATATTTGACTAGTATCTCTGGAGAATATAATTACTGCAGATGTGTGCTCGAGATACTCTTACCTACTTTGAGGAAGGTAGGGGCAAAAGAGATGAAGGGAAGAATTGCTGTGTAAATCCTTTATGTGTCTGAAAAGTAAATTAGCAAAGAAGGAATGGAAAAAGAGTAAAGAATGTCTTTAGACTGATAATTTTAAAATCCGAAAAAAAAAGTAGCTTCCAGCCATCCAGAGTGTAAAGTTTTTAATGCTTTGTTTTCTTATATTTAAAGGAAACACAAGCATGCAAAATATACAATTAAAAACAATGAATAGAAATGATCTTTTTTGAAGATTAGAGATGAAAAGGAATGCAGACATAATTAAAGGTCTGAGGAGAGGAGATGGTTGTAAATCAGTCATTTCCATCACACTCAAATGTGATTTATAGAAAATTACAGCTGTTTCTGGCACCAGACCAAGAATGGCTAGAAGAATGTTCCCCCCATCCCAACACCCAACCCCATTTTTAAATGTTTGTTTGAGTGACAAATTTCTTTTTCAGTGGTTAAAACAAAACTCCATGAACCAGAAAATAGGTAAACTCCAGAGAGCTATGGCAGTATGCATACCACCAGATGGGCAGATCCTCCAACAACCCCTCAACTCAATTCTCTCCAGCTCTCAAAGGATGAGCTGATTATTATTCTTCAACTGACAAGGGAGACCCTATGACCCCTATGTTATTCTGCCACCAAGAATAGTACAAGAAGAGTCACAGAATTTAGAGAGGTAAAAGGCCTGAGACATTGTCTAACTTTTTTATTTGGTCAATATAGACATTGTGGCTTAAGAAAATGAAAAGACTTGTTCAAATGTATCCAAGTATCAATGGTAAAATGAACTCGACTCACTACTGGGCCAGTTCTATAAACCATTAAGCACCCCAGATTTGTTTAGATAAACAATTTAACTCTGATAATTTTAAAAAGAAAGTACATGTTTTGAATGAACCAAAACCCAAGATCATGTTCCCCATAGTTATTAAAACTGAAAGGACATTTTACAAAAGGGACATTCACTTTATGTCCAGCCAAGTCCAATGTTAAGACCATTAGATTAGTCACATTGGTCAGTGATGTTAATTCATTTGCCCAAGGTCACACAAAACATAAGAGGTGGAGTTTGAGACTCTGGTGTATTTGATTCCAAAGGGCATTCTTTAACCTCTGTGTTCTGCCAATGTGAAATTAGTAGCAGCAGATCTGAGGACTAAAGTACAGATATGAACATAATCTAGCTGCTAACACTTACTTCCCATAATGTTCTAGAGTAAGATGTTGCTGGACAATGAGAGATATTACTTTCATTTATTAAGGTTTATCAAAAGTGATTCTAGTTATGACACCACCAGCCAGAGTTGTGCACATCAGGCAATCCTCAAGTTGTATAGCCTTTGGAAATATGTTGGCTTTTTCTGAATAAAGATTTCATGGTATTTACTGCAGCCACAAACTCAAAACCAATTTCAGTGGGTTGGCTATAGTTACAAACCAAGGTACAGTGCAGGCAGTACCTCATTATAAATGCTGCCTTTCCTGTGCTTCACTTGTCTTATGAGAGAAAGGGAGCTTTCTCGTAAAGTTCCGACCCTCCTCATCTTCAAAGGTCCCCTTAATTCCAATGGCAAATTTTGCTACAAATGACTTCAGCTTATGACATTGCCTATTTACTCTCAGCACAATTTCTTACTCTTAAAAATATATATATAATGAAGTAAGACACAATTGGAAGAGAAAATAAAATAAGTTTCACAGTGAGATAGTGTTCCTCTTCATTATTCTTATTAGGACAATTTCTCTTATCAAAGCTACTTTCCTTTGGCCACAGAACAGGGGCTTTTATTCCAGCTAGCAGGCAATGTTGTCAATTATTATTTCTGGCCCTTCTAGTATCTGTCTTTAAGTCAGTCAGATGAAAGTGTTCCACTTAAACAAATATCAGAGTGGCACCATTACTATGGCAACCAGAAACAAGAGCTTTCTAAGATGGAAAAAAAAAGTCCATGAGGAAGGAGAGGTATTATTTATTTTGCATTAAATGAAATGCATGCAAGTGTAATCGTTGAAAAAAGCCTAGAATATTAAGAAGAGATAATGGAATAGCCTCCCTCAACCCCACCCTCACACTTTACCTGCTTTTCATTATTGTGAGCAAAATCATAATCCTTCAGTGGAAGAATTTAGCTTTCTTTCATGAGGACTACCAAACAATATCAATTATTTCAAGCCATTTACTATTAAAAGTCTTGTAGAGTTCATTTGGAAAATAAATGCACATATGCCCTACATATTTAACAAGGAGATATTGATAATAAGAGCTTATGACTCTCAGCTGAGTTCCTAAAAATCCAATTTTCAATCATATATAGATCAAATGTCAGTCCACATGTGAATCTCAGTAGCCTTGTTTGAGACTGGAGAAAGGGATTTAAATTTGCCAGTGGAACTGTCTTTGAGAGCACATTTCAGATGTTAGTAGGCATCAAGCTTGAACATCTTAGTGGCTGAATTTAAATTCCTTTAAACTTGTTTTTAAACCAATTCTAGTTACATATTTAAACATTTCATATGTTTTTATCTCCCATCATGCTTTCATTCAAAATTAGTATAAAATAATACACCATAAAGACCAGTTGTATTTCTAACATATCTACACACTTAAATATATTTAGTGTTCTTGCCAGAACATATTTTGAAATCTTGAGGCTGAAGGGATGTTATTGTTTAGTCATGTAATATAGATATTTAGAAAAAAGCTCATACTTTATTGTTCAGAATGTCATTATTTTTATTGTCCTGGATAAATTAAAGATAAAACTAGAAGCACTAGTGAGAAAATTACTGAGTTATGCTTTTCTTCTAAAATAGAGTTGTGCAACTACCTCCTTGTGAGACAAGGACCCCGCTGTCTTAGTGACACAAAGTGGGTAAGAAATGAGGAGATTGTTTCCTCTCATTTGTTCTTCAGGATTCTCTAGATACTGTTTTCTGGTGCCATGGAAATTTCTAAATGAGAGAGTCTGAGACAGACTTTACAGAAATTGTCTCCACCTGCTGAGTTAGGGACCAGGACAGTCTTGGCCTGAAACAAAGACCAAAAAAGAAATTGGCTAATGATTCAATGTTCTCTCATGTTTTATTTTGCCTGAGTGAAAAAATCTTGCTATTTCAAAATAAAGTTTTCAGTTTAAACACACCTTACCAGAAAGTGTAAAGTACACTCCTCTGATGATGTTAACTAGATAATTTAGCACTTTCCACAGAATCTTCAGTCCTGTAAGCACTGCTTAGGGAGGAAATGTAACTAGAAGAGCCGATAAATGCTAGTAAATTCTTTCTTAGTAAGAATTAGGCCCAGGGACCTGGCTGTCATGAAACTCTTGCCCCTTAGCCTAGGCTAGCAGCTTTAGACTTGCCATCTTAAAAGGCACAGGGAAAGAGTTGATGAGTGTTGTAATAGTATGAAAAAAGCAATAAACAGAAGTTAGAAAACTCAGCTTCTCATTTCCATTCTTCCTGCTTTTCTTTGTCAGTGTGGAGGAGTAATATCTTTCAAAGCAAAGCAATATCTTTGGAGCTAATGGGAAAGATCATTTCTTTCTTTCTTTTTTTTTTGAATAAGAATTACATGAAGTGTCAGTTCCAGAATATTAATCTGAAAAGGGTTCTGGGGCAAATAATTTTGGGAAATGCTAGGTGACCCAAAGTTAAACAGGCCTCTTTCCTATGGGAATTCTCAGGGCCCTTCATAAGGTAATTATGTTGTGACTCTCCAGAAGGGAGTTAAATATGCCATTTTTCCCAATCATGTTTGACTACATACATTTTTTTTCTTTTCTATTTTTTTTTTTTTTTTTTTTTTTTGAGACAAAGTCTCGCTCTGTCACCCAGGCTGGAGGGCAGTGGCATAATCTTGGCTCACTGCAGCCTCTACCTCTGGGGTTCAAGTGATTCTCATGCCTCAGCCACCCCAGTAACCGGGATTACAGGCACGCACCACCACCTTGTTTGGCTAATTTTTATATTTTTACTAGAGATGGGGTTTTGCCATCTTGACCAGGCTGGTCTCGAACTCCTGACCTCAAGTGATCTGCCCACCTCAGCCTCCCAAAGTGCTGGGATTACAGGTGTGAGCCACTGTGCTCGGCCATACATAATTACTTTAATTAAAAATCTTGAAAGATGATGTTTCTAAGAATAAACTTTGAGGAGGCTGATCTCATCCAAAATTTTTGCCTTATTGAAAAGGAAACTGAGGCCTAGAAAGCTTAAATGATTTGCCTAAGAACCCAAAGCTGAGAAAAAAGGCTATGAGTATCCCAACGCTGAATCCAGTCATCATAAAGCTTGCCGAGAGCTTCTATTTCAACTGAACCAGCATCACCACCCTTCTTCTCTCCATAGTAAAGAAGTCTAAAGTTTAACATAAACCTCCCCTATGATCCAATTACTCTTCTCCTAGCTATTACCCAAGAGAAAAAAATGAGACTATGTCCACATAAATAATTGTACATGAATGCGCTTATCAATTTTATTTCTAATAGCCTCAAACAGGAAAGAATCCACATGTCCATCATAAATGAATAGATCAATAATATGTGGTATATCCATACAGTGGAAGAGTACTCAGAAGTAGAAAGGAATAGATGCTTGATACATGTAACAACATGGATGAATTGTCAAAGTCATTACACTAAGTGAATGAAGCCAGACAAAAACCACTACAAACTGTATAATTTCATATATATAAAATTCTAGAAAGTTCAGATTAATCTATAGTGACAGAAAACAGATCAATGGTTATCTATAGGCAGGAGGGGGCCAAGAACGGCAGGAGGGAGACTGTATTAGTCCATTTTTATGCTGCTGATAAAGACACACCCAAGACTGGGAAACTTACAAAGGAAAGAGTTTTAATGAACTTACAGTTCCACATGGCTGGGGGAGCCTCACAATCATGGCAGAAGGCAAGGAGGAGCAAGTCACATCTTACGTGGATGGCAGCAGGCAAAGGGAGAGCTCATGCAGGGAAACTCCCCTTTATAGAACTATCAGATCTCATGAAACTTATTCACTCTCATGAGAACAGCACAGGAAAGACCTGCCCCCATGATTCCATTACCTTTCACTGGGTACCTCCCATAACATGTGAGAATTCAAGATGAGATTTGGGTGGGGACATAGCCAATCCATATCAGAGACATTACAAAGAGGCATAAGAAAACATTTGGGGATGACAGAAATATTTATTAACTTGCTTGTGCTATGGTTTCACAGGTGTGTACACATGTTGTAACTGATCAATGTGTACACTTTAAATATGGGCAGTTTGTTATATGACAATTATAATTCAACAAAACTGTCTTAAAAAAAAGAAAAGTTTAAAAGGACTAAGCTTCTTTTGCCAAACCTGGGAAACCCACTGGGGAAAAGAATACTACTTTTTTTTTTCATTATAAACTTGAATTGTCCTCCTCTTCCCCATGACAGACTTCCCACACAATTTCCAGTGATAGATATACAATTGTGCCTTTCAGAAAATCCTCAGAGCCATAAGAACCTCTCTTTTTCTCCCCTATTCTAGAGGACACAGTGTCTACAGAACAGAATTGTTGATTTTCTCTTTCTAAATGGTATCTCTATGAATTACTGCAGTGTGTATATAAAGGCAGCTCTCAGCAATTAGTTTTCTGGTGTGCACCCGGCTCTAACCTTTCCTCATGTGAAATTTCATTGTTGCTCAAATGCGTTAGAGCTGCTTTTTCCAAGGACAGTTTTTCCAGTAGCATCCAAACATAAAAGAGTTTCTGGTGTTCAAAGGATTGACTCAGAGATATGTTTTCTTGTTAATTGACATAGTTACTGAGCATCATCAGATTTTAGAAATTCTGTCGAAAGTGTCTGTTTTTCACATTTATATGGTGTTCTCCATGAGGAAGAAGTAACGAGAGTAATGTGTTGCACTAGTAAACTCAGAACATATCTGTATTCCTATAATTTGTGATGTGTTTTTAAAGAAAATGAATCATTTTAATAAAGTAATTTAAATTAATGTGAAAAGATATATTTTATTATTGTTCATAGTCTGATATACAGAATAGGCCAAAGTACATTTGAGGAGAAATGTTAACTCCCACAAAATCTATTAAAGAAAAGCAGTTTAGGAAGAAATACCAAAGTCCAGAAAGCCAATGGAAGTAGAAAAAGCAATAGGTTTGAGGGGATGAACCACTGAATTTGAGTCTTAGCTTTGCCATTAATTAACTGTGAGGCCTTGGGCAAATTAGTTTCCTCTTTGGGACACAGATTCCTCATCTGTTGAATAGAAGTTATTATAAATGTGCCAAAAATTCTGTTCAGCTCTCCACTAAGGATTAGTACCTTCCTCATGGTATAAAACACGAGAGGGAGAAAAAACTATATTGTCCTTACTTTTAGTTTTCTTTTAGTTATACAACTTTACAAAGCTGTAGATTATGTATTTACAAATATAAATGTGTTGTTACAAATATTCTGGCAATATCAAATATAGTGCCTAATTCTGCCCATTTGCTATAGTTAAGGTATTTAGGACAAGTGTTTGTTCTGCCCTGGCAAAATGGAGTTTACTATAGGAATAGTAAAATAAACATGAGAAACTCTATTAAAGAACAACAGCTCATAAGATAATTTAATTAGACAATTCAGGTTTGAAATAACACCATCATCTTGGCAATTTGGGAACACTGATGACATGACAATTCAGTGCATGGAGCTTAGCATGAAAATGTTTTGTTTAGACTGGGTGCTTGTATGTGTATGTACTACACAGAATCTAAACAATGTACGCAGCCTAGTCCCTTTATATTCCCATGACCCATTAAAAATAAAACACAAAGACCAGCCTGGCCAACGTGGTAAAACCTTGTCTCCACTAAAAATACAAAAATTAGCTGGGCATGGTGGCGCACGCCTTTAATCCCAGCTACTCAGGAAGCTGAGGCAGGAGAATCACTTGAACCCGGGAGATGGAGTTTGCAGTGAGCAGAGATAGTGCCACTGCACTCCAGCTTAGGCGACAGAGTGAGACTCCGTCTCAAAAATAAAATAAAACAAAATAAAATAAAACTTCTTTATTTTCCATGCCATATTATTTAATCATTGGCTGTTAGTGTTATGGATATAATTTCTTTTTTCAATGAAACTGTAAAAACATTTTTCTGAGTATAATGACATGTGGAATTATGGAAAATGCTAGAAAAGTGATCATAGATTGTCCTTAAGTGACACCCAGAAAATATTCATCTTAGTAGTTTCATAACAGCCATCCAGAATACAGAAGGTAATAAAATAATTTTAGTGAACCCTCACGAATAATCATTTCTTCCTAAAAACTTCTAAAGTATGAGTTGCTGGGCTTTTCAGAATCAGTCAATTCTTCCTCCTTACCTTCCCTCTTACTTTCTACCTTTCCTTTCTTTCTTCCTTTCTTTCCTTCCTCCCTCCCTCCTCTTCCCTCCCCTTCCCTCCCTTTCCCTCCCCCTCCCTTCCCTTCCTTCCCTTCCTACCTTCCTTCTTTCAGAAATGTTTAGATCTTTACATTTTGCATAATTATTTTCCAGAACTTTACATGTAAGAATCTGCTGTACAAAGGAATTTGAAACAATGCCCAAATTTTCCCCACAGGTGATCTGTATCCTCCTGCTGCAGCCTGGCTTCTTCTTGGCATGGTTACTGATTGAGCCTATATGCAGGGGCCTGGGGAAGCCCTGCTTTTTGTTTACTGTTCAAACAAACCCTCTTTAATAGCAGCACATGTAAAAGAACACTTTGAAATTTAATTTGTCCCATGTAATGAGGCTGCCAAGAAAAAGATCAAGGTAAAAGCCAGATTTTTTTTTTTAAACAGAGTCTATAAAATGCTGACTTGCTCAGTCCCCCTGCAGTCCCCTTTCTGACAGGCATCTTACACTCCATCTTACACTCCATCCATACGACACCACTTACAGCCCTCATCAAATGTCTCCTGCCTTTGTGCCATGTCTGTGTGCACATTTACTGTGTGAAATTTAATTCTCCTCTCCTTCTCCTCTTCCAGCAATTTCTGAGATTTAACTGTCTACAAGTCTTAACTCAGGGCTTCCCCTCTAGAAAGTCTAAGTCTTACCCTACAACCCACCACCAGGACATGTGTGTCTTGCTCTGTGTTCCCATCTTGTATATATGAGAACCATAGTGTCTATCTCTCTGAATTATAATTATCTCTGAGACATCTTTATTAGCTATTATTGTTTAATATGTTCCTGCCATGTTTCAAGTTCTTCATATGAATCATGTCATGTAATCCTGGCGAAAACCCAATAAGGGTGGTGCTATTCCTTACTATTCCGATCCTCATTTTGCATGTGAAAATCCAAGGCTCAAGTAAGTTAGGGGACCTGCAGAACCTTGGGCAGATAGAGGTGGCGGCTTTCAAGCCAGGCAGTCTGACTCCAGAGCCCATACTTCTAACTATTAGCACACAGAGCCTACCTAGACAACTACTACAGCTGTCAGCAGTTTGGTTATGCTCTGGCCAGGCATATACTGAGATATAGCAACTGTAGTATAGAACTTGTCCAAATGATGTCACTGAACTCTTTCCGAGAACCAAATCATCATTCAGGCCCAAATCAAGAATTTTCAAGTCTAGTGTTGTAGAAATCTACACAAGCAATACTTTTATTAGCATTTTGTCTTTTCTTTGAGACAGGGTCTCACTCTGTCACCCAGGCTAGAGTGCAGTAGCGCCATCTCAGCTCACTGCAACCTCCTGTCCCAAATCAAGAATTTTCTAATAGAAGACTTGAACATAAGACACTGTGAAAAGCACATAGAATAAAAAGATTGGAGACATATTTGCCACTCACTAGTCAAGTGACCTTGGCTATATCATTTAATCTTTCTCAACCTCAGTTTCTTCAGCTATAGGATGGGGTAATAATAGCTTCTCTACTTTTAATATCAAAGAAGATTCTGAAAATGGTAAAATGTGTCATTATGAAGATATAAAAGATATGTAAAGTTTTGAGAAAAATCATCAAATCATGTCAGCTATCTATACACATATGCTACCTATAACTATTACCAACTATGGGACACCCTTAAAAGTTTTCTAGGAGAATTCAGACATGTTTGTGAAAAATGTCCCACTCTCATGGCCTGAATGTATTACCATATCTCATATAAACTTATCTTCTTCTAGATGATTTGTGTGTGTGTATGTTTCAGCCCTTAAACCAAAAGCACAGTACATATGCAACTCTGATTATTTAAAATTAAGGTGCTGAGGTCAGAGACACATTAGGAATTTTAAGACAGTGCGAGAATCATTCTTTCTCCTTCCTACTCCTTCATATCTGCTCAGTACAACATCAGACAAGCATGCGCAGCAATAGCATTTGTTTTGATAATGACAACAGCAAGAACATTTGTATGTGCAGTTTTAGACTGTGGGCTCATCTCAGCGGCAGGCAGCCTTAGTCAAGGGAAGAAAAATTCCAATCCTGAGTTATAGAGCCGATTTTGGTAAAAAGCACGTTTTACACACCAATTAGGCAAATTGTTAAATGATTTTAGATTAAAGAGCAAAGTAGCACTCAGGATAAATTTGAAAGGATAGAGGGAAAACCTGAATAAAAAAGAAGCATGGGAAAAAGAAAATGAGGAGACAGGGAAACTCAGGGAAAGAAAAGACACAAGAATGAGAAAAGAAGAAAAAACCCCCAAAGATGTGAAAAAAACAAGTCATCGTACCTGTTTGGATGGACAGTTGAAGGGGTTCCCTGAACACCGCTGCTCTCCCAATTTCCAAAGACGGATTAGCAAATTAATACAAGCCGAGCATAAATTCGCTGACTGCGGTGGCGCGGAGTCACCTTGGACCTCATCAGCGTTGCTAAACATCGCCCGTAACCTTTCCATTATCACTGGGGGTCTGCTCAGCACCAGGCCCCAACTGCTCCAATAATTTCAATTACTTTCCCTGACAAATTTTATGTTTCATGTATTTTAGTGGCCTGATAATTATGATTTCTCTCATTTCTCGCTATCGAGCTTAATGGGTTCCAGCATGAGTGTGCAGTTTCAGAAATGAAGTTCCACTTGAATTCACAAGTTATTATCTACTTTCATTAATGGAATTGGAAAAGAGGGAGTGGAAAAGAGATAAAGAACGAGGAAGTAGGAAGAGATGAGTGAGCAGGAGGAGGAAGGAATAAAAGAAAACAAAAGGCCAGGAATAGAAAATAAAAATCAACCAAAGAGTAGGAAGGAAACTGGGCTAAGTATAAATAAAAAGTAAAAAGTATGTGGACAACTCTCTTTAATGCAAAAAGCACTAGATTATTTCCATGACTAAACACATGATTGGGAAGAAGTATAGTGTGTTCAATAATTCCCAAGCATGGCATCTAGACCACACTGGGTTTGAAGAACCTGGTTCCTTTACTTACCCGCTGTGTGATGATAGGCATATTATACAAACTCACAGAGATTCATCTGTTTTCTTTCTTTTTCATGCATGGGTGTGTGTGTGTGTGTGTGTGTGTGCATATGTGTGAACAAATATTTATGGAATGACAATAATCTGCAAGAAATTGTGCTAATGTAGGGAGATTAGCTCTTTTAAAGGTTGTACAGCTGGAGAGAGAGACGTATATGCACCTCAGCTTGCCTAGGCATTGATTCAAGTTTCCTCCCACGTGAGAATATAACTTCCCTCCCACCGTCTGGCACAAGAGATGAGTGTGTGCAATTTTGAAAGCACTCTGAGCAACAGAAGCACAGTAAAAAAGATTGCTTGTGTCAGTTCCACGTGACTATCAAGGAAGCCTCAAAAAGGAATAAAAAAGAAATTTGATGCAGCAAGACATCGAGGAGCTCAGATCCATCAAAACCTTGTGAAGCCAGTATCACCAGCAGCTTTGTGTCATCTGTTAGTGTGCAGATATGCTGCAACAGGTTCTGACTTGCCAGGCTCTGTGATTTTTGGCCTAATAATTGAAAACTTAATCTAACCTTACAGTAGAGTTATATATGTCGTCTCTTGTAATCAAACTTTAACCCATCTGAAAAGATGTAGCTAACGAAAGTGGGATGTAGAGAGATGAAGAGGGATCCCCTTTCCTTCAAGAAGCTAACTATCAAATAGGGAGATAAGACAAACAAACAAGTTTAATAGAAAATCAATATGAAACATGCTGTAAGCGTGGCACGTAGCAATCAGACAGGTTTAGGGAAGGAAAATGTGATATTTATTTTGAAATACTCTCTTTTAATAAGGGCCCAAGTCTTAAGCCAAAAGAATAAATCTCTAGTTTTACAATTTCAGGCATCAATGAGCTACTTGGGAAAATAAAAGGAGGATTACAGAGTCCTTCCCGCTATCTCTAAAAATACATCACGTGGATGGCAGGAGCCGAGCCTTGTACTGCAGGCATTTAAGATGATAAAATGATAAAGATTTATGAAAAATAAATACTCAAAGAAACATTGGAATTAAACATTTAAAAGCTAACAAAAGCAGCAATAGTGCAAAATAATAATAATAACCATATGTGGAAGCAGCTGAATTGATGAATCATTTAAAATGTTTTACCCTGCATTCTGCAACTGAAAAGGGTATCTGTTTTCTCAAATGAACCTAATAGGAACCACTGAAAGATGGTTCATCTTCTTCAGTTTAGTTAAAATGAAATAAAAGTGGCTGCCTTAGTTAACACTGACCAAAGGAGGACTGAAAGAAAATAACTTATGAATTGGACAATGTGCTCCTTACTTACCAAGTACCTTTCTGCAAAGCCAACTAAAGATAACTGGAAATTTCTTAAGGTTGTCTGCATTTTTCAGTGAATGTATTTAAAAAGACCATTCTCTGGGAGGAATTTGGTCAGTTTATCAGTTAATTGATCCAACCAACTTTTAAAAGAGCCCCTTTAGCCCCTGTATTTTAACGATGCACCCCCCTCTCCACCCTCAGAGCGAGATGAAAATCAGTACTGTTCTAACTTTGAGACATTATTGCCAGTTTTCTTTCCTTTTTTCTTTTCTTTCCTTCCTTTTCTTTCTCTCTCTCTTTCTCTCTTTCTTTCTTTCTTTCTGCAACAAGCAAGGGCTTATAGGCTTGAGGTAGAAGGAAGAATGAAGAGGAAGCCCACTCGGTGCTAAGGTAAACTCTGTTTGAAAGGGAAACTGCCTTCAAATGCAGTCCTACCAGCCTTGGCTTTCAGAAAAAGCACGTCCATTAGAAAACTGGGTACATATCTTTTCTACCCCAGGCATTTTGAGTAGTACACAGAATGCAAGGACAAATGAGAAAACCCTAATCTAGAAGCCCCCATGGTGTACCTGGAGAGACAAACACATATGCAATTACAACTCCTGTAAGATATGTGTGCAAAGTGCTGTGGTAGCTGGTGAGAGGAGCTGACAACTAAATGTGTGACAGGAGAGCAAGTGACAAGCTTCATGAATAGGTCAAATTTCACCTGGGCCTTGAGGAATTCTAGGAACTTGCCCTGTAAAGTGAAGGAAACAATTTCAAACGTAAAGAAAGTTCTATACAGCTGCTGTTCTCAGAGTTCATTAAATATTCAGGCAGGCACTGTTTGTCTTACAACCTACTTATAGATGGTCCCCAAGTTACTACTTGACTGAGACAATGTTAATGGCCCAAGAAAGGGCTTTTGCAGTAGTTAAAAAAAATTCAAACCAGTTCCAGATTTAGGGACTCTCATGGTTGAGACCCAGTCGAATTTGGCTTCTCTGGGTAACAAGTCTACTTTATCCCAGCAGGATCATATTTAAATCTGGGTTAAGAAATTTGACATTTTTAACCTTCTACTCTCATTATTTTTCACAATGACATACTTTGCCTCAGTTAATTATGGCAGAGAAGCATTTAAATGTTAAAACCTAGATAGTAAAGAGAAAGGACTAAAGGGAGCCTAGACTTCTTGTGCTCAAAAGTCATCACTCCACTATAGTCTTCCATGGAGACCATGGCCCAAAAACCCAATTAGCGCCCATGAATCCAGAATCTCAGAGGCGGGTCTAAGGTTTCTTTGAGTCATCTGAGCATTTAAGAGTCCTGCCGGCCGGGCGCGATGGCTCATACCTGTAATCCCAGCACTTTGGGAGGTCGAAGCAGGCGGATCACGAAGTCAGGAGATCGAGACCATCCTGGCTAACCCGGTGAAACCCTGTCTCTACTAAAAATACAAAAAATTAGCCAGGCATGGTGGCGAGCGCCTGTAGTCCCAGCTACTTAGGAGGCTGAGGCAGCAGAATGGCTTGAACCTGGGAGGCAGAGGTTGCAGTGAGCCGACATCGTGCTACTGCACTCCAGCCTGGGTGACAGAGCGAGACTTCATCTCAAAAAAAAATTTTTTTTAAAGTCCTGCCTTATTTTCTATCATGTCTTTTTTCCTCATCCCAAGGTCAGCTATTCTGGAATAGTACATAAGGGAATCTTAAAAAGTAGAATATTCTATTAAAAACCAAAGATTCTATAGCCTGCTAAGGCACTTTAAAGAATAAAACCTTTCTCATCTTTCCAGAAAATGTATGGAGAATTTCTTTTCCCTGACTTTGTAGACATTACTCTGTGTTTCTCGATCTACAGGCGTATTAAGTTAGGTGAAGCTCAACCTCTTCCTATCTCTGCATATGAAGACTATGAAGAATCTCTATGTTGGTTAGAAGTTTTTGTCTTTTGTTGTTGTTGTTGCTAAGACAATGGGACCAGTTGCCTTCTGTGATTAAGTATAATCTTTGAAATAAAATATGTGCTAAAAAGGATCTTTTAACCTTCAGAATTATATCATTAATGCTTTTTATAACTTAGTATCAGGGTCAATTTTTTATGGATATTTCTAATAAGCATCTGTTGAAACTAACAGTAACAATAAAAGGCTAACAGATATAGGAATGATGGAGTTGAAGCACAATAGGTGTAGAGGATGTTTTATAAAGGGTTGATGGGATTTAGAGGTCCTCAGCATCTGCCTCCACCCCCTGGTCCTAGTCCTAGAAGTCCCAGTATATTAATTAGCAGTATGATTTGCCATGTGAAATAATATTTGGAGCACTCATTAAAGACTCATTTTATGTAAGGCGCTTTACATAATTTAAGTCTAATTTTCACAAACACATATTTATTACTGAGAAAACAGACTCAGAGGGCTCAAGAGACTTGCCTAGGGTTACAGATTCAACTTAGTGCAGAATAAGGATTTGAACCTATGTATATCTAAATTCAAAACCAATTTTTTTTCCTTTTGTGCCAAATTTCTATTTACAATATTTTTAAAGGTCAGAAGGAACTCTTAAGTCCGGCTCTTTCTCCCAGCTAAGTGGTTACAATCAGGTTGCTTAACCACACTTTTTTTTTTTTTTCACACAAAACACAAATCTAAGTTATTCAGGAATATTGTAATAGCATTTCCTTTTGCTTTAAAAGAGATCTTGCTACTAATGAGGGCCAGAAAAAGAAACAGAGCTGCCTGACAGTTGGCCAAGTTGAAAGAAGGAGCATGAGTTGAGAGAGAAGATTCTGTTGCAGGAGAAGTTTGAAACATATAATTTGGAGTCAGAGATATCTCTATTACAGGGCTGTTCAATAGAAATACGATGCAGGCCAGAGATGTAAGCACATGTGTAATTTAAAATCTCTTAGTATTCATGTTAAAAAGAATAAACAGGTGAAGTTATTTTAAATAATATGTAATCCAGTGCATCTAAAGGATTATATATTTCAACATATAATCAATACAAAAAAATTCAGTGAGGTATTTTACATTTTTGTATATGAAATCTTAAAAAAAAATCTGATGTATGTTTTATACTTAGCGCACATCTTTATTCAAAATAGCTACATTTCAAGTGCTCATCAGCAACGTGTGGCTGGAGATTACAGTATTGGAAAGTACAGCCCTGGTAGTTTAAGAAGAAAACTTGAACAGAGAAGGTGGTCCAAAAAAGCCTGCATAAAAATGAACTAATTTCAGAATGAGGTGCTTTAGGTGTAAGAACTTACATACTGATGATTGTAGAAGTGTGAAAACTCCATCAGCTGGTAGTGAGGTTAGAGGCCATAGAAGCATAGTGTGCAGTGGAATGAAGGGGGCAGTAAAACAAGCACTTGTAGAGCAGGGACTTTACATTCATTGTCTAACACTAATTCAGTGGTAATTCTCCGCATTGCACAAATGAGAAAGCTGAAGCTCAGAGAAATTCATTTACTTGCCCAAATTTCTACTTTCTACTTCCCTATGAATCTGTAACCAGAAAAAATGAATAGTTTGTACTTATTTTATTCTCATTGTCCATAGTTTAAAAAAAAAAATGTGTAATCTACCAGCTGCCCTGAGTCTATGTTGCAGATGTTAGGCAGACACAGAGGGGACTTGGAAACGGCAAGGTGCAAAGAGGATAGAAAGCTTGAAAAGAACTGTGTTTCAAAGACTGTGTAGCTACAACCCTTAAGCCTTTAAGGTGTTAATAAAGGCAGGAAGCCAGGCCGCAGGCAGCTGTTGTACTACACAGTTGTTATTCTAGGGACATTTACCTGCTGTTCTCTTGATACCATGGAAGACAAAAAGCAAAGGACTGAGTTTGACATGTAGTCAGAGAGCATAGGTGAAAGAAACTGAAGAAACTCTTGAAAATGAGGTTGGTTAAGAATCCCAGAAGTTTGCCCAATGGCCTGCTCTGGATATTCAAATACTAGAATAGATTCTTACCTGACTTGTACAATCTCAGGATGTCTCCTGAACTGTATTTTTAAATGCAAAATAATGGTCATAGTTTAAATGGCACAAGTGAAATGCAGATAATCTGCATTTTGTGAGTATAACTGAAAAAATGATCTGCTTATATCATGGTGGTGGTAAGATTTTTCATCACATTATTTCTGTAAAGTCAACTCTATGACAACTTGGAGGAAAAGAAAAGGGGCATCAGGCAGCTCTAATAAGCTTTCTTTCATGAAAACTGGCTAATAAAGAAAATCAAGTTATTTTCAGTTAAGGATTATTGCTGAGGAGAAAGAAGAACCAAATGAGAAGAAGAGTAATCAGGCTGTCTAAAAATGGAATCATAATGAATTCTTGTTTCTATTTAGATAAGTATTTTACCCTTAATTACTTAACTTATAGGATTATGAGAGAGTTAAAAAGTATACTATATGCATTCATTCAAAAATTCCTTCAACAACTTTTTTTTTCCCAGCATTTACTATGTGCCAAACCCTAGGCTCTGGTTACATAGTAGTGTAAATGAGAAAAAATATCTTTTCCTCTACCCATCTTAGGTACATGGCTGAGACTCCTATAGTAAAAGATACAAGAGAAAACCATACAAATTGGTTTAATATAAGTTTTACATGACACGAGAGCCTTCATAAGAAAATAAAGACCCAAAGAAATGGTTAAACCTGTGTATTTTTATTTAAAACATTTTTTTTTAAGAGACAAGGTCTTGCTCTGTCACCCCGGCTGGAATGCAATGGTGCAATCATAACTCATTGCAATCTCCAACTCCTGGGCTCAAGTGATCCTCCTGCCACAGCTTCCTGTGTATTTTTATGCCAGGTTCGGTGAAGAGTAAACAGTCATGGAGAAATATGATGGGGGAAATTGTATGATTAAATGGTAATAAACTGGGAGAAACTTAGCAAGGACTGTTTGTTCAGATTCTTCTCTGTGACTTGTTTTCAGAGATAGGAATGTTCCTTTCCTCTTGGTGTGGGGAAGGAACCTCTCACAAGAAGTTATTTTCAGTTAAGGATCATTGCTGAGGAGAAAGAAGAACCAAATGAGATGAAGAGTAATCAGGCTCATAAGGCTTCTCTCATAAGAAGGGTCTGTCTTATGACCTGCTTCAGGGGAAGGTCGGTGTATTAGGCCATTGTTTGCATTACTGTAGAGAAATACCTGAGGCTGGGTAGTTTATAAAGGAAAGAAGTTTAATTGGCTCATGGTTTTGCAGGCTGTACAGGAAGTGTGGTGCTGGCATTTGCTTCTGGTGAGGGCCTCAGGAAGCTTACAATCAAGGGGAGGGGAGAGGTCCCAGCCTTTTAGCCAGATCTTATGTGAAATAAGTGAGGAAGAACTCACTCATCACCAGGGGGAAGGTGTTAAACCATTCATGAGGGATTTGCCCTCAGGATTCAACCCCCTCCCACCAGGCTGTACCTCCAACATGGAGAATCACATTTCAACATGAGATTTGGAGGTGATGAACATTCAAACCATATCAATCAGAAAATCCTTCTCAGGTTTTATGACTTACTTCAGGGAAGAAGGGTAGGGGAAGGTCAGAGAGATCTTCCTGCATCTGCTTTTTCTCAAATTCCTTTGGTTTAAAATATTTAATATGCTAAGGTGCCACACTTTGGGGTGGCATGCCCTGAACTCCATCAGTAGTGTGGCAAAGGCTGCTAGCTGATCTCTGGGCCCATGTCCTCTTCTTGGAAACACAACTAGACTACGTTTCCTAACCTTCTTTGTGGCAGGGTGTGGCTATATGACTGAGTACTAGCCAGTGGAATATGGGAGAAAGTGTTACCCCTGCTTCTGCTGTTTGTGATTCTTTAGGATCTTTCCCCCACCATGGTGACCTTGGAAGCCACATTGAAGATGGTGGAACCACTCCATAGAAAAAGGCAGAATCACCAATTAGAGGAGAGCAATAAGAACACTGGTGTTTGACTTGAGGTGAGCTAGAAATAAACTTCTATGTTACAGCTGCCAGTGCTACCTTAACTAATACACGCATGAGCAGTGAACTTGCTCTGTGCTCTCTTGGTCTTACAATCTAACAGGAGACAGACAATAAATAAGCAAACCACATAAATAGAGACATTTGGTTTATATATGAAAATATTACAGCCTAGTCATGGAAGAGGACCACATAATTGTTTTAGATTTATACAAAAGATTAAAACTGGTGATATGAAAATAATTGACAACTTCATTTTTTATCTTGTTTATTTTTTTTGAGCTGGGGTCTTGTGATGTTGCCAAGGCTGGACTCTAACTTCTGGGCTCAAGCAATACTCTTGCATCAGTCTCTCAGGTAGCTAAGATTACAGGCACATGCCACCTAATTTACTTTAGAATAAAGTATCTCTTTTTCTTTTTATCCTGCCTCCCTTCCCCTTTTCAGCACATATACCTACCTCTTTTACCAAGTAAAGTCTATTTTTTGAAACAGTGATAGACTCCAAAGCATGTGGAATAAAAGAAATCACATCATCTTAGAAATTTCAGTTCACCATTCTCTTTACTGTATGACAACCCTCTTATAAAAAACTGTGGCTGCATCTTTTTCTGAGCAATAATGAAACATTGGTTGGCTTTTTAATTTTCTCCCATAGGCATGAATAGAAATGCTGAATACATAGCCTAGTGGTAGAGCAACAGAAAGATGCTGAAGCGGTAATTAAAGAGGTCTAATATCTGCTCCTAATTACTTGATGTTAGTTAAGGTAGCTACTTCTGGGGCCTTAGTTTCCTCATCTACTAAATTGGAAGTTTGGCTAATTGACCTGTAGGATTCCTCCCAGTTCTCACATTTCCAGCTTCCAACTTTTTTTTTTCAGGGGAGGGAGACAAAAAACTCGTAGAAGTGTGGCTTAAATGCAGTGCTTGGGAGACATTCTGCATGGTTTATAGGTTCCAAAGATGGAACTCAGTATGTGAGCTCTCTGTTACAGGCCTGACATACCATCCAGAAAAAGGCTAAAGGAACATTGGAAAATTCCAGATGATGCAGGGATTGTTTGAATTATCCAAAAAACGGCCCAGGAAGACGTGCACTTCAATTATGTCCCATTTGCTTCATTTGACCCCTCTACTTCTGAAATAGGTGAAGTAGGTTACACACACACACACACACACACACACACACACACATTCTGATTCCCCAAAGCTCTGAGCCTTCTGTGTCTTTGAAGCTTCAACCTTTCAAAATAAAAACTGTATTGTTTTTAACAACTGGGTCTCTCTCTCCAGCTTCCTACCCCCTGCCCAGATTTTCTCTTCTCTGTGTTCTACCTCAGTTCCCTCTCAGCTGTCTGGCTCCTGCTGTTGGGCATTGTGATTTAAGGTACTCTATGCTTTCCTTTCCTTACCATGGTGCCTTTGATTCAGATACAGACAGATACATTATTGATCAGATTTTGGCTGCTGCTGTTAGCTTGCTGGTGCTGTACTAGTAACTAATAAGCTAGTAAGAGAAGACGATGAAGAGAGCCGACCGACCTCCTTTTAAAAAGCAAGTGGATGACAACTCCATAGCCTGCACCTGGGAACTTTTAATAAATGCTACCTGCTTTCCTGCTAGAATCCCTTTGCTCATTTGGTCAGACAGCTTCAGTGTGCACAGGCTGGGTGGTCCATATGCCAGGTAGTGAAGGGCTGCTTGGATGAAGAAAATGATACTGTCATATAGGGAAGACCATTCTTTGTTTCATAGTGTATAAGTAGCTGGGTTTTTTTTTCTAAATGTTCCACATAAAGATCAAAGTATCAATTTTGTACTAGATTTTCTATAATCCTATTTAATATTTGCCACCAACCTACGATGTAGCTATATCATTCCACCTGAGGATACTTAGGTTGAGAAAACTCATGCACTGGACACTATGTAAGTTGTCTACCTCTCTTTGCTGAAATGAATCAGGTTAACCTCCCATCTAAAGATCATAGCAGAGGCTGGGCGCAGTGGCTCACGCCTGTAATCTCTGTGCTTTGGGAGGCCGAGGTGGGCAGATCACGAGGTCAGGAGATAGAGACCATCCTGGCTAACACGGTGAAACCCCATCTCTACTAAAAATAGAAAAATTAGCCAGACGTGGCGGTGGGCTCCTGTAGTCCCAGCTACTCTGGAGGCTGAGGCAGGAGAATGGCATGAACCCAGGAGGCAGAGCTTGCAGTGAGCTGAGATAGCGCCACTGCACTCCAGCCTGGGCTACACAGCGAGACTCCTTCTCAAAAAAAAAAAAAAAAAAATCATAGCAGAGCCATTACTGAAGCTCAGGTCTGCAGACTCTGAACCTATATCCTTCTCCGGATACTGGAGGCTGCTCTGCTGGCAATTCTCTCCTGCTGCTCATTCTTCGACACCTTTTTTGAGCTCTCAGAAAGATGACTGAAAAGGATACAGGAAAATACTTCTTATCTTACTTAAGGTTCCTCCTTTTTTATTTAATTTTTTTTGAGATGGAGTCTCATTCTGTCACCCAGCCTGGGGTGCAGTGGCGCGATCTCAGCTCATTGCAACCTCTGCCTACTGAGTTCAAGTGATTCTCCTGCCTCAGCCTTCCAAGTAGCTGGGATTACAGGCGCCCACTACCACGTCCAGCTAGTTTTTGTATTTTTAGTAGAGATGGGGTTTCACCATGTTGGCCAGGCTAGTCTCGAACTCCTGACCTCAGGTGATCTGCCCGCCTCAGACTCCCAAAGTGCTGGGATTACAGGCGTTAGCCACCGTGCCCAGCCAGGTTCCTCCTTCTTTAAACATTCAAAGTCCCTATGTCAAACTATTTATCAGATTTTCAGCGTTCATGCCTTTTAACCCAACAATTCTACCATTATAGTTATGCTTGAAAAAGTGTGTGTGTGCATTCGTGGGTGTGTGTACATGTACACAGACATGTACATACAAGCATGATTATGCTAAACTGTAATAGCAAAACCTGAAAAACACTCAGGGACTACTTAAATAAATTATTGTATATCCACAGACTTGAATACTATGCAGTTATTGGAAAAATGAAGAAGACATATAAATCATAATTTTGAAAAATGTCTAGATTATTAAATGAAAAGCATTTGTATAGGCTAAACTCTTCTGTTAATTTTTTAAAATCTATCTGTCTACTATCTATCTATCCATCCACCAATCTATTTATTTACCTATCTATCCATTCATTCATCCATCTAGCTACCTATGCTGGTTTGTGTATAAACATTTTTATATTTGCTGAGAGTGTAGACAAAAATCTATTAATGGCAACAGCCTCTGGGGATGTAAGGAGAAACTTACATTTTATAGTTTACCTTTGTATGTTTTTAAAAATTTCTAACTTTGTGCAGATATTGCTTTTATTTTTAAAAGGATATCATGTCAACTGAGGTTAACTGGGCTCTGATATTTTAAAGAACTTCATTTATTTTTGTGTTTCAATATCTTTATAAGGCTTGTTTTAAAATGCCCTAATATTGAGGGCTTAACAGACTATATATATATATATATATATATATATATATATATATATATATATATGTAGTGCCAGTCATTTTTTCCTAAAAATGAGTTTTGAAAGATGAAAAGAGAATAGAGAATCATGGGGCCCTAAGTCCCTTAACAGTGAGTGGAGACCTAGGGGATCAAAGGAAAACAATGTGGAGGGAGAGAGGGGCAATGCTGAACTATGAGCTTCTCTGTACTGCACAGAGGTGACGGGAGGGAGGGCTGCACTGGCAATTAGGAAAATTGGATTCTAGCCCTGCTTCACCATTTACTTCTCTCCTGTGCATGCCACTTAACCTCTCCTAACCTCAGTTTCTTCATTTATAAAATAAGGAAATTGTGTTGGATGATTTCAGAGGTGCCTTCTAGCTCAGAAATCTATAAAATTCTATGAAACATCATTCTTTCTCCCACCACATAATTGGCAAGACGTGGTAATGAAATAAGGAATATAATTCATCTTTCAGTGCACATTTTCTCTGTCTTGCAGATGCAAGTAGTTGATAGGTCTTGTTTTTCCCACTTCTCACTTACAATCTGGATAAGAGGAGAGGGAATTTTCTAGTATGTGGTACTTTATATTTTATCTGACTCAGCCCACCTGTTTTTAGAAAGTATTTCAGGCCCTCTAATGTTATGTATTCCAAACCTACAGAGATAAAGTCTGACCTGGTCCCAGTCACTCCAGCGGAATGGCACTTGCCCTCATCCTTTAATGCTCTTAGCTTGTGGTTATGGAAGAGACAAAACTGTAAGCCTAGATAATCACTATTTAAAGATGTGACATATGAAAGCCAGTGCAACTTGAGAAATACTTCTTGAGTATCTACCGCATATTTGGCAGTGCTAAGCATTATATATTCAAAGATGAAGGCCCTGCTTTGAAGAAGACAGGACTCTAAACACAGAAGAATTAACATTTCTGTTACAACAGTACATCTAACACCAGGCAGATTGATCAGAGCTATGGATGTACAGAGGAGAGAGGCCATTTAGCCTGAGGAAAACTCTTTTGAGCCGGGCCTTAAAGGCAAGTAACTGATACCTAGGACATTCTTTTGCTAACAGTTTCTGACCTTACTGTAGCAAGGAAAATGTCTCCAACCCTCCCCACATGACAGCCCCAGAGGCGTGCATATATATGGAGATCAAGCAAGTCCTTGGGAAATGAAGGATAAAGAAGAACCCAGGAATAGTAGAGCTGGTCTGGAAAAATGAAAGAGTAAGGGAGTGTTGAGCAAACCAAGAGAACAATGGGCCCTGAAAGTAAGCAACAAGGAGGCAGAACAAGGGAGGGATGGGTAAGACCTTGGGGATGGGCAGTGCCTCTTAGATGTTGCAGGTTTCATCGCAAAATGGTCTTGTTTTCCTTATTTCTTGAGAGACTGGGTTTCATTGGCCACCCCTTAATAACTGCTGCTAAAATTTACTTCCTTTCATATATAGTCCCTTCTCACCTACAAGCTGCCATGAACATAGCATGTTTTGTCCTGAAGACTTGGCTAAGTGGAACAAACATTGAAGTAGCAGTAAAGCACAGGCACCCTGCAGGGGTGAAGATGAATGGAAATGCAACTAGGAAATATTTCACAACCAGGTGTAAATAGATGGAGAAAGGAAAGAAAATATTTCTATCATGAAGTGATTTACACTAGATTTAGACTAAGACTCATAGCCAAGTGCAGCAAACAGCAGTTAGTCACATGTGAAAGTACAAATACTGTATTTGTTTTCTTCAAGTAACATGTCAGTTTAAATCAAATCAGCAAATACTTTTTAATGATATTATTGCTCCCAAAATATTTTCATTCCTTGATTCATTTAGTTTTCTTCCAATAGAGTGAGAGTCAGAATTGTTGGGGTCCCAGGGTCGGGAAGAAGAGGACATGATTTTAATGGTTGACCAGTGACTATTTGTTTATTGGGTAATAAATTAAGGGGCTCCACATCTTTCTAAATCTAAAAGTATCTCCCACCAGCCTGTATTTCTGAGGCCAGAGTTGTCTTGTGTATAAGGATGGTGAATTCCCATAAAGGTTCTATTCAACTGTCAATTAATAATCCAATACCTGAAGCTATTAACAGATGTGTTCTGCCAGGCACTTTGCGAAGTCACTAAGTAGAAGGAAAAAATTTGTTTTGTGATTGCAAAGAAAACAATCAAGGTAAAAGAATACTCTATTTTGATGCCTAATAATATGTCATAAAAAGAAGAGGCATTAATGACAGACATTGTCTAATTATTTTAGGTATTAACTGGGGGTCTAAGAAATATACTAAGTCATGAGTAATTTTCAAGTTTTTATTAGAATATCTGAAATCTTTGAAAAATGGGGTGTTGTGTTTTCAGTGCTAGAGGACTAACACTATTCTTTCAGATTCTCTACATACGTGGTTTTATTGGTTGAGCTGCAGAGTGCTCTGGATCTACATAATTATAAGCCATATTATCACATGGTTCTAGCTTTATTATTTATGCAGAACTAAGGACTTTTATTCTTTTATTCATTTATTCTACAGATCACAAAAGCGGAATGTTCAAGGTCTTATTCAAGGCCTTTCATTGAGTTATAACGATAACGCTAAAGGAAAAGCAAAAATAAAACCCCGAGCTTTCAATTCTCAGTCCAATGTTTCCTGTAGATTCTACTGTTTCTGAAATACCCAAGAGAAGAATTCTAGAGCATGCCTCATCAAAGAAACCACAATTTGTAGAGAAAGCAAAGATTTTAAAGGTATCTGACTGGCAAATCCATGCCTTCTCCTTGGCTTCTTCTCAGCCCCTGAAGCTGCCACATTAAGAAGCTGTGTGATTTCATGTGGACTGTGTGATTGGCAGCTTGAGAGGCCATCTAAGGCCACCTTAGATCTAAGGCCATCTAAGGCTCCCACACAAGGGAGCATGCTCATGCATATGTCCCAAAAGCAATTCTGGAAGTTAAGATAAATTAATAAATGAGAACTGTAGTGATAAAACTTCATGTTATTGCTTTCTGCCTTTAATAACCAATCTAATATTTAATCAATGAACAAGTACTTATTTCCAAAATATCATGCAAGAAGCTATGGAAGGTAGAGACAAATAATGAAATGGCTCCTGCTCTCAAGCTGCTTGTGATTCTATCTTAAGGGACGTTCTTGTCTTTGGCCAATGAAATGTAAAAGATCTATTTTCACCTTATCTCAGAATCCTCAGATATTTTCACTTGAGCTGGGATGTGATTCATGCGGTTTCGGCTATGGTCAATATAAAATATGTACTCTTTTTTTTTTTTTAATCCAAGTTTCCCTCTTTTGCCCAGTCTGGAGTGCAATGGCGTGATCTCAGCTCACTGCAGCTTCGTCACCGGGGTCAGGTGATTTTCCTGCTTCAGCTTCCCGAGTAGCTGGGATTACAGACATGTGCCACCATGCCCAGCTACTTTTTTTTGTACTTTTAATAGACATGCAGTTTCACCATGTAAGCCAGGCTGGTCTTGAACTCCTGACCTCAAGTGATCTGCCAGTGCTTATTTTATATAAATATTAAAAGACACAAAAAGATAATTGATGTGAGCTGCCCTTCCTGACACAAGTCTAGACATATTTATATATATTGATGCTGAAAAGGTAGCAGACTGTCCCAACTGTACATGTGGCACCTACTGGAGGGGAAGCAATTCATGTCAGGATGCAGGGCGATTTTGTCAGATGAATCGGAATGGATTTTCATAGAAGATAAAGGACATAAAGAGGAGTAGAGATGAAGTCCCATATTCTTTGAAATATGCTAGTCCTCTTAGGCAGAAAAAGCTGCTGTCCTGAAGAGGGGAGTTTGGGACCAGTGATGGCCATGTAGGATGAAATCTAAGATCTGAGATCATTTTCTGAGTCATTTGTGGACATCATATTAGTAGATGTGCCCTTATCTACCTACTCAACTGATACTGATAACATGCTATTATTGGCATAATATGGTAGATATTCTTAAAAAAAAAAACAAAAAAAAAAACCGGCTGGGTGCAGTGGCTCACGCCTGTAATCCCAGCACTTTGGGAGGCCGAGGCGGGTGGATCACAAGGTCAGGAGATCGAGACCATCCTGGCTAACACGGCGAAACCCCGTCTCTACTAAATATACAAAAAATTAGCCGGGTTTGGTGGCGGGCACCTGTAATCCCATCTACTCGGGAGGCTGAGGCAGGAGAATGGCTTGAACCCAGGGGGTGGAGCTGGCAGTGAGCCGAGATCGCACTACTGCACTCCAGCCTGGGCAACAGAGTGAGACTCCATCTCAAACAAACAAACAAAACCCTGAAGGTAAATATATATTTTTTATAATTCTTGGCACCCTCAGGATGTCCTGGTATGGATAAGTTATTACGTATAATCTTCCTGATTTTAGGGATACTATAATTCTGATGCTTACAGTATTATTCCCTATAAAACTATTGAAAATAATGCCATAGCAATAGAAGTGCTCATTTTGCACAAAATGAATGTCTTGCACATAAACTTGCCAAGTTTCAACCTCTAATAGAAAGATATTAATGCTATGCTTCACTTTATGTAATATGAACCTGAAAATTATGAGTAAATATTTCTGGAAATATCAAACCGTGTAAAATACACTATGAAAGTTGACTAAAATGATTTCATGGAATTCGAAAACTTTTACTAATAGTTGATTCTGCTGCAGGCATTGAACTAGCTTGTATGAATTTACAGATGAATATAATTTGGTTCCTGTCATCAAAAATCTTTGTTTATATAAGACAGAGATGCATGAAAAAAAAATGTCAAGATCACATGCTGAGTGCAAAGACAGAAAGATAGTATGAGAGAACAAAGGAGCAGCTTGTTCACCTTATGGAGGTCAGTAACCGTTTCTGCAAGAAATGGCCGAACTGAGTCTTGAAGAAAGAGCAAAGATTCTTAAAGAATTCTTTCATCCAGTAGTTTTTTTTTGTTTGTTTTTTGTTGTTGTTGTTGTTTTGTTTTTTTGTTTTTTGAGACAGTCTCACTCTATTGCCCAGGCTGGAGTGCAGTGGCATGAACTCGGCTCACTGCAACCTCCACCTCCCGGGTTCAAGCGATTCTCCGCCTCAGCCTCCCAAGTAGCTGGCACTACAGGTGCCCACCACCACACCCGGCTTTTTGTTGTTGTTGTTTGTTTTTTGTATTTTTCAGTAGAGATGGGGTTTCATCATGTTGGCCAGGCTGGTCTTGAACTCCTGACCTCAGGTGATCTGCCCCTTTCAGCCTCCCAAAGTGCTGGGATTACAGGCATGAGCCACCGTGCCTGGCCATTGTTCTTTATTTTACTTGTATTCTTTGTGTAACCTTGGCCAAGACACACCCTAAATTCTCTAACTCTTCAATTGTGAAAGGGAATTAGAAGCAAACTCACTCAGCAGGTCATTTGTTAAGGGCAGTTCCATGTTGATAATCTATATATTCTTTGTTTTTTGTTTTTGTTCTTATGCAGTTTTAAAAATATAGTAAGTGTTCTTAATGCAAAGCATCCTGTCTTGGGTTTATATCATAAATAATATCAGTGCATTTATGTTTAATCTGAAAATATAAGAAATGAGCATTAGCAGTGTTGGGAACACGTTTTATTAAGTCTACACCAATCTGGGAGAAAAGAGCAGTGCATTTGTTTCCATGCCTATATTAATGAAAACGGTTATAAAATAGGGAGGGGATGACCTCCTGGAGAGAAAAAGACACAATAATTACAATATATCAAACTCTGCCTTCTGAGAAGTGTCTGTGACTACATGTCTATTATCTTAGTGTATCAATTTTCACTCTCAAATGACTTCCTCTTAATTAGCATATTAGTGGAGAAAGTTTGTATTGAATTGTTTTACATTTATTTTGCTTCAGCTTTTTTTCTGTGGGGAGTGGGGTGAGGAGGATATTGATGCGACTCATGTGAATACAAAGGTTCTGAATGAAAAGGCCTTTAGTCACCTGTGCAAATAATCATATCTTTTGTGGAAGAGCGTATTGAGTATGGGGCCAGGAGCCTATGCCCAGCATCATCTGTATTGTGTGGTAAAGGACAAGGCTTCCTAAATTCTCCCACAGTTCCTCAGTTCCCCACACGTAAAGCATAATGATCTGTGTGTATTAAGGTAGACTTTCACTCTACTTTGTTTGGGTTGTTGAGTCATTAAAACACCATGTTACTGACTTGATAAAGAATCCAAGATGAGGAAAAATATCTCACAAATACATTAATTAGAATTACACTGACTATTCATATATGGAGGAAAACCGACAGTGCTAATGATCTGTTTCGAGTGATAGTTGCCTTTCCCAAGATTTGGTAGTATCAAAATGAAAAACAAGAACCCTTCATGGAGAGAGAGTAAGGGAACATTGACACATGCATTGCTGTCTACTGAAGCTCAAAGATATTGAATTAATTAGCCTTTGGGCTGTCTCTAAATGTTCATCTTAATTTTTTTTCCTTTTCCCTTAACTGCTGCATAGTACATGAAGAATCTTAATTTGCACATGCTAATGTACCTTCATAAAGAGATCCTTTGGAAAGCTCTTTAAAATGTTGAAGCAGCCTTGACTGTAATGCTTTATAAAGCTTCTGATTTTAAAAACAAAATGTATGAATAGAGCTTTTTTTTATTTTAACCTGTCAAGCTTTCATCAGCCATTGGTGATTTTTAAATAGATTTTTTAGGCCGGGCTTGGTGGCTCACGCCTGTAATCCCAACACATTGGGAGGCCAAGGCTGGCACATCACCTGAGGTCAGGAGTTCAAGACCAGCCTGGCCAACATGGTGAAACCCCATTGCTACAAAAAAATACAAACATTAGCCGAGTGTCACAGCGGGCACCTGTAATCCAAGCTACTTGGAAGGCTGAGGCAGGAGAATCACTTGAACCCAGGAGGCGGAGGTTGCAGTGAGCCGAGATCGCACCACTGCACTCCAGCCTAGGTGATGAGGGTGACACTCCAACTCAAAAAAAAAAAACAAAAAACAAAAAAAAAACAAGATTTTTTAGTAGGGAGGTTAGTTTACAAACTCTGGTCAGTTTTGGAACTCAGACTTAACAACAGCTAAGGTGTAGGTGCCTGATTCGTTTCTAATACCGAGTATATATCTGATGGCCTCTATGGTGGAAAGCTTTTTTTTAGTAGATCTGGAAAAGAGAAATACATATTTCCCTTTTTCTAAATTCACGATCTAAAAAGATCAGATACATATTGAAAAAGGAATAATAATCTTTTAACAAGGGTATAGATGTTTCTGACTAAACAGTAAATGTCCTATCAGGTAGATAGACCAGTCCCTGTTTCTCAGCATGTAATTGACCCTAGGAAAGTAATACAGAGCAGACAAGCCTCCAGGGTTTTGCTACCCCCAAACAAACTCCTGCTTATTCACGCACAGGTGGCTTCTCTTATGTATGTATTTATTTTATTTATTGTTCAGAGTACTATATCTTTCCCAACCATTGAGATCTAATATTGAGGACCTCTTTTTTTTTTTTTTTTGCTGAGAAAGTTTTGTGCTGAAGGAAAGAGAGCAATCTTTGGAATCAGAGAGACCTGGGTTCAGATCCCAGCTTCCTTATTTTGATTTGAGGCACCAATAAAAATGAAAATATAAGTCTATCAACGTATAAATATATCATATAAACCAGATACACACACACACTCACACATATATATAGGTTTATACTCATACGTATCATACATATGTGTACTGTATATACATGGAAATTTGCGTATATATAATTTTGCTAATTATATATATAATTATATATATAAAACCCTAGAACAATATGAGTTTGAACTGTACAGATCTACCTACACATTGATTTTCTTCTGCCTCTGCCACCTCTGAGACAATAAGATCAACCCCTACTCTTTCTTCTCCTTCTCAATATGAAGATTATGAGGACAAAGACATTTAATGATGATCCATTTCCATGTAATGAATAGTAAATATATTTTATATTTCTAATGAATTTCTCCAGAACATTTTGTTTGCTCTAGCTTACATTATGGTAAGAATACAGTATATAATACATATGACATACAAAGTATATGTTGACTTTTATGTTATTCGTAAGGCTTCTTGTCAACAATAGATTATCAGTACAGTTTTTGGAGAGTAAAAAGTTATATGCAGAATTTCAACTGCACCATACCTGGCTAGCCTCTTAAGCCATAGCCACACCTCAAATGCATCTCTGAATTTACTTCATAGCATCTCTAACCCCAATATTGTGCAAGGCTCAACTATATAAATATATATATGTATGTGCATGTGTATACATGTAATCACATATATACACATATATATATACATCTCTCTCTATATATATATATATACATATATATATATCTTGCTAGTGATATATGTGTTTATCACTAGCAAGGTGATCACTAGCAAGATTATTACTTTAAAAATAGAACGCATTTATAAAAGCAACTAGTTCAAAGCCTGAAATAATGGATATTTAAATTTTTTTATTTAAATTTTATTTTATTCCTAGAATGTTATCAATTACTCAGTCCTTTTATTGATTCTTCCTTTGAAATGGCTTTTGCGTCTCAGTTTTCATTGCCACTACTTCAGCCCAAATATTAACTATATTATACTTGTGTTATTCTAATAACAGCTACTGTCCTCTTGACTGAATTCTTGTTGCCCTTAAAACAAATTGATAAATTCCCATTAAACCAATTTCAAAACTATATTCATCCTGTCATTTCTCTATTCCAAATATTCAGAAGCTCCCTAGTGTTGACAAGATAGAGTTTACAGCTTCAAAAACTTGTACAGTTTGGCCATAATCTATTTTCCCAATGACTTTCCCATTAGCCCTTATCATGAAATTTTTACCGAAAAGCAACTGGCAACCATTTATTGCGCCAAATTTCCCCAAATACTAGATCAGGAATTATTCTGGACATCATAGCTGAATTCTCACCTCCTCTGAGATGCATCTACTACCATACTTGGCTAGCCTCCTGAGGCCATAGCCACACCTCAAATGCATCTCTGAAATCACTCCAGAGTCAGATTCAGCTAGTAAGTATCAAGTAAATTCTAAATGCCAAGCATTGTGCTATATGCTATGTTAAATCATTTAATCGTCTTTATAATCCAGTGAAACTGGTGATGTGATCTCCATTTTATGAATTATATAACTGAGGCTCAGGGAGAGCTTTAACAAGTAGAGTATCATAATTATTTATTCCTTTTTCCCTATAACACTAACATTCATTTATTCTTTATCCATGTATTAACTCATTCATCCATTTCAATGTTCATGGAGTCCTTATAATGTTCCATGCATTTTTCTAAGTGCTGTGGCAATCTGTACTGCAGCTGTTCAATAGATGTTTTCGGCCTTCAACTGTTAAAGCTGCATGGTCCCTGTTCTGATGGCTTTGTACAGCCAGGCTTTCTCAATCAGAACCTAACGCATCCCTTCTTGAGCTGAGGAATTTGTCCTATTGTCTTTATCAGAGACAACAAACTGAGTCTTCTCCTAACTATATTTTCAGCAATTATCCTGGTTCATGGTTGATGTTCAGCAAATAATTTATTAATACATACATATATGCACACATAGTAGCTGTTCAATTAAACTTTGTGTAATGAATGAATGAACAATTGTGGCTTTGATCCATTGCCCTTTTCTAATTTATCTGTGACTTTTGTCTTCCAGAAGATTTGTTTTTTTCTTTTTTCCTAAGAGGAGAGAAATCTGGGGAATTGGATGCAAGGCATGTGCTGAGCAATAAATCAGCTTGCAGAAAGCTTGCGACAAGCTTATGTAGCATAAATTATTTCCATACAGCACTACTACCATGTGAGGCTAAACTGAGGTTGGACCTCATTCGTATAGCATAAGGTCTCTATTTTTCCACACCAATGTTACCTCATTTTAACCTAAATAACTGAAAATTTGATCAGATGGAGAAGGAGAAAAGGGATGAGCAATGGCTGTTGTTGTTCCAGGCTTTTATTAAATTGTACTTTTAAGAACCCATGTCATTTATGGGTTCTTTTATCAAGAGTTCTCATAGAGTGTGAGGTCCAAATGGAATGCATGACACAACAGGCAGCCACACGGAGACTGAGGGCTTTGAATGGGAGGCGGTGTGGAGGCTGTGTGGAAAAGCTCCAGGCAGCTGGGAGAGGTACAAAAGGGAAGAGGCAACAAAAGAACTGTGCCTATGTGCTCAGATCAAAAAACACTCTGCTGACTCTTGGCACAGAGATGAAGTGTCACAGCCCCTCTTTGACTCTTGACCTGTAGAAATGTAGACTCCAGTCACACAAACACATTTTTTGATGACTCTAGGCCAGCCTCCATTTGGGCTGGTCCCCTACCACATCAGAGATCTGTACTCGCGTCAGACTGTCTTTCTCACAGGCAATAGGCCACTGAGTTTCCCAGGAATGCTAATAATCTCTCCCTGGGGCGGTTTGCCTTCTTCCTTTCAGAGTGTGATTAACTTAGGTAGCATCTCTTTTGAGGGCATAGCATAAGGCTTAGCTTCAAATCAGACTTTGCACATTGATATGGTTTGGCTATGTACCCACCCAAATCTCATCTTGAATTGCAGCTCCCATAATTCCCACATGTTGTGGAAGAATCCAGTGGCAGATAATTGAATCGTGGGGGCAGTTTCCCCCATACTGTTCTCATGGCAGTGAATAAGTCTCACAAGATCTGATTGTTTTATAAGGGGTTTCCCCTTTCACTTGGCTCTCATTTTTCTCTTGCCTGCCACCATTTAAGATGTGCCTTTCACCTTCTGCCATGATTGTGAGGCTTCCCCAGCCACGTGGAACTGTGAGTCCATTAAACCTCTTTTTCTTTATAAACTACACAGTCTTGGGTGTGTCTTTATCAGCAGCATGAAAACGGACTAATACACACCTCATATTTGCATTACCCCAACAAGAAAATTTCATCCAACATTAGCATCCCAGAGAAGCTATTCCAGAGAAGCAAGAGAGGGACAAAGAGGAGAATCTTACTCCTCACCTCCTCCCTCTCAAAGTCCTAACCCCAGCTATGTCTGCCCATTGTGTTAAGGGTTCCATTTGGTCCTCACACTCTATCACAACTCCTATCTCTGTGGGTCCTCCTTAAAGCGAATGTTGTTAACATTTTTCAGTGTGGCTGTACAGATGGCACGGCATCAACAAACAGAACACATTTTGAAGAATATACCAGTAATTCTACGCATTTTTTGTCTACTTGCCTTTTTATCATTTTCCCACTCAAGAAAATGGATCAGAACATAAAGGAGTGAGAATGGCATTATTACAGGAATTACCTTGAATCTGTTCAAATTTATGAAAAAAGTATTTGCAAGCTTTTATACCTTAATATTACATCACATTATTTGCAGACACCTTACAACTGATGTTGACAACATTCACTAGAGTTTAGCGTGAATGAACAATTTATAGTGTCATACTTGTCTAGAAGGCTATTCTGTATGTTTATGTTACTAAGTTTGTAGGAAGTCCATGCCCCAGTTTATCCTTACACTGGACAATTGTTTATGATTTTTTTTTTAACATATTGATTCTATGGAATACCAGGGAATACAGAAGAGGGAAAGTCTACTTTTTCTGCCAGCCAGAACACAAAGTGAGAAAGACCCAGGACAACAAAGTGATGATAAAAAGAGCCATTTATAGAGAGAGTTGATAAGCATATGCTAGTGAATCAGTTTTCATTTCTTCTGCCAGAGTATTAATGGATTTCAAGTGCTTAGGAAGGAGTGAGTTTGAGATCTGCTCATAACTTCAAATTAGTTCATGTGGCTATTTTAGGTGTTTGGGGGAAAATCAAGAACAGTACTTTCATGGTTTTTAAATCCTAATTGGACTCTCCTAGTCTGAAAATATTGGGATGCTGAGAGAGTTGAAGGCAATAGCTAATGGAGCATCTAAGATTATCTCTGAACTTATACAATTTGCTCTCACGCTTCTCTCTGTCTGCACAAGAAATCAAAGACTAACCATAATCATGGCAAACAATCCGTGGTTCTCTTGCCTGCCCTTTGGTATCATCTTGCATGTATTATGTATGGTATTCATCTAATATTAGCAGTTGACATTGTTAACTATGGTAAAATGATGATCGGAAGTAAAAATTAAAAATAGAATATAGACTTATCAAATTAGAAGCTTAATGAGAAAAGATCTCTTTCTCATTAAAATTTTTCCTGTCTCTTCTGAACCAATTTTTGTGCCTCCTACTGTTATGCCCATTTGATTCTTCAAACTAAGCTTTAAGGAAAAAGTTCCACCATTTATTAAGAAGGTCCAATTATTTCACTAATGAAATGACTAATTATGTCAAAACCTATGTAATATACCAGTATACTTTTTCCCTGAAATGAGATTAGATTAACATAGCTCTTCCCTGAAGGAAAGTAGTTGAACATAGTTGCAGCTACATTTAACTAGTAAGGTCAACCCTGCCTAAAAGTAGATATTTATAATTCTAGACCAGACAAGGGTTTATAGTAACACAGTATAAAATTATCTCTAATAATTTAAATAATAAGCAAGTTTTTAAAAATTCATTATAATATCCTTGATCAGTATTTACCTTGTGGAACTCTGCTTTGTTAAGACTTTTAAAAGCAGCTCACACTTGAGCAATATTTATTCAACAGAGCCTCCCTGGACAATAACAAATAGGTGAGCTTAACAATGATCAGTGACCATCATAAAAGTAATAACCATTGTCCAGTCTGGACTGGTACAGAATTGACATGTAAAGCAAGTGAGATAGGAGCTAATCACTTTTAAAGAATCTTTTCTGTTTTGTCTTGAAATGTAGGTCAATATACTGTATTATGAGTAGTGAAGAGCTTAGATGTGGAGTCAGAGAGCCTGAGTTTAAATTGTTTCTTCATCCATCAGTTGGGGCTACTAACCATATCAACCTTGTAGAGATGAAAGAGATTACATATGTAAAACATTTACTGCATCTAACACTGAATAAATTAACAATATAAGTGATTCATTGCAATGTTGTATCTATTTAAGGGATGTGTCTCTTCCTGGATGTTAAAAGATATGCTCCTTTTATTTTCCTGTCTGTCTTGTCCTTACTTGCAAGTTACATCCTTTTTTTGTTCTTTAATTATGTGCTTTGAGCATTTTAAAGATATGATCTATACTTGAGGGTCAGAGTTGAAATTAACAAACACCTTAAACACTGATGTCAGTTAGTTATGACATGGAAAAGAATCGCAGGAGACAGCTAGGACAGGTTTCTAAGAGCCCAAATTTGCGGAAGCCTGGATGAGTAAGAACAGTTACTGAGGCACTGTGGAACTGTTCTGACTGTCCCAGAAGTAATTATAGGGCAGGATCTTCCCGAAGGAAAAACTTGGGAAAAGTATGTACAGGGATATACATGTGTACATGAACCTGTGTAGAGTTTATCACTGTCATCACAAGTGCTTTACTTAGCAAATGAGCTCAGCAATATTCCTCTTAAAATTGCATGCTCTGGGGTGCTTAACAAATGGTTGGCCGTTTAATGGCCCGAGGCACAGCCAGGGAAGGTTAACACACTGACAAAATGGGCATTAACTATGATAACAACTGTTTTCATGGGGGATTATTGCTATTATAAACCTTATCCAACATAATAATGCTGGCAATAATTTTTATTTTTCTTTCATTTTAAAATTAAGTCATGCTCGCAGATATACAAGACACACAAGATCTTAAAATTCAGTGTTAGATATTTAATGGCCTTTTCATAATTTTCTGTTGCTGCAAAGAAAGATTCATAATCCAGTGCTTAGGTAGATTGTATTATTCGAAGTAGATAAAGTAGATTTAGTAAGAAACATGGCAATTTATTAGATCCAATTGTGACAAAGATTCTTACCTATCTCTTCCAAACCCTACCAAACTTTTTGGGTTTTTCTTTCTTTTTTTTTTTTTCTTCAAGACAGGGTCTCAAAGGCTAGAGTGCAGTGGTGCAATTACAGCTCTCTGCAGCCTCGACCTCCTGGGCTCAAGGGATCCTCCCACTTTAGCCTCCTGAGTAGATGGAACTACAGGTATATGCCACGACACTCAGCTGATTTTTAAATTTTTGTAGTGATGGAGTCTCACTATGTTGCCCAGTCTAGTCTTGAACTCCTGGGCTCAAGTGATCTTCCGACCTTGGCCTCCCAAAGTGCTGGGATTATAGACGTGAGCCACAGTGCCAAGCCCAGACTTCGTTCTGACTGGGCATGATGTCCATGGTTAGAGCAGTTACTCTGGCTTGGAAAACAAAAGATGGGGTATATTTATATGAAAAATCCCTATCCAATTGTATATTGCATAGTTGGGAAAGAAACACCCTAAGGACTCATCTAACCTGATCTCATTAGCACAGAATATGGATAATTTATTATAGTAGCATATGAAATATAAACTATATGCTTATGAGATATTTCTCTGGTAATATTCATTTGTGGAACACAGGTCAAGAACAGTCACATAGGAGAGTGCACCACCTGGATGAAAGCGGGGATCAGGATTGTGGGATTCCTAGTGGAGATGTAGTACTAGAAACCACAGATCCTGGATGAGGGGCTACTGGTGGAGCCTGTTTCTGAGCTGTGAATCATCTATCCACAAGAGAAAGGGGAGGGGGAAAGTCAAGTATCTTACATCCTAATTCTGCCTAGATCAACATTGTTAAGGAAACCTAGGGAGAACTTGCTGAGTAAACATCTGCAGCTGAGTCCCAGCACAGCCTGTTCACAAATAAGTCCATTGGCTGGAAGAGGCAGCTGAATCCATTCATAGATTGAATTTTTCCTTCTGCCATTTGAGCCAGACTAGATTTGACTTCCTCATCACTTTTCCTTCCATATATATACTACTCATTCTTTTAGATTCATTTTCTAATCTTTTTGCCCCATTTTCACTCTTGATTCTCCTCCTGAGTTTTGAATTATCTTCATTGGCTATTATCTTTGCCTATTAGAAATTGATTTTGGCTGAGCATGGTGGCTCAATGCCTATAATCCCAGCACTTTGGGAGGCCGAGGCAAGTGGATCACTTGAGGTCAGGAGTTTGAGACCAGTCTGGCCAAAATGGCAAAACTCTGTCTCTACTAAAAATACAAAAAGTAGCCAGGTGTGATGGTATGCGCCTGTAATCCCAGCTACTCTGGAGGCTGAGGCAGGAGAATTGCTTGAACCTGGGAGGTGGAGGTTGCAGTAAGCCAAGATCACACCACTGCACTCCAGCCTGGGTGACAGAGTGAAACTCTGTCTCAAAAATAAATAAATATATAAATAAAAAGAAATTGCTTTCACTCTCTTTCCAGACACACACACACACACACACACACACACACACATGCACACCTCCAGAACACAAAAATAAACTTTGAGATTATTTTTCCCCTTGGACCATTCCGCACCCAATCACTTTTCTATAGCAGCCAGCAGCAAATCTGCTGACTGGAAGCAATGCTGCATCACTAGCCACCAAATTTGGAAAACAACCAAGAGGCTTTTTCTTAACTCTTTATTTCTGCTTGTACCTTTAGCCCAACTTTAATTCTCTAGTTTCAATTCACCAGTAGAAAGTACTTTTATGTACTCCAACCTATTCAGTATTAAATTTAAGCCTCCTACACATACATTACCTTGTTTTTGAGTCAAAGACAGAATGACAATTTACTTACATTTATTGAGTACTTATTGCAATTATACATCCTAAGACATGTGTCACTGGAAAACAGTGACATTTTGGAATATCTCAGATAGGTGATTAGACAGTCTTTACTTCACCACTTCAGTTGAAAATAACTCCACTACCCTGTATATGATAGCAATGCATCATTCTATTCTTAGTTTGATTTATGCAAATAGTCTCTCCTTTTAGATGAAATGTGTTTCCTAATAACTGTCACCAGGGACACTAGTTCCACTGTGTAAAGGAAGGCTGATCTCTTTCCTTTTTAATATAACTTCAAAAATTTTAGAAGACCTGTCCTTCCTCAGTCTTCTCTAAATATTTGCATTCTCTTCAATATTTGTCATAAGTGAGATCCTGCACATTTCTGACATTGTTTTGAACCAGCCCCATTATCACTACCTCAACTTTATTATGGTGTTCAGAATTGAACTTAAAGTTCCAGATGTGGTCTAAGTTATAAAGTATATAGTACTTATTTGTAAGACAAATTACAATAAAAACTAGAATACTTGTGGAACTCATTATCTCCCATCTTGGCCTAAACCGGAAATTAACAACATCAAGAGAAAATGAAATCTTTTTGTTTTAAAATTCTAGGCATCTATGCAAGTCATAATATTTTAAGTTCAATCAGAATTATACATATCACCCCCTTTCTACATACAACCCAAAGAATGGATGCATTGTAAATGTATCATTTCATCCAAAGTCAAACAACTCAACCCAGCCCTAGGTGGAACTGTCAAGATTATTATTTTACAGAGGTCAAAACCTAGGTCTGACTCTTTATAGCCACTCATGCCACAAAGACTTTGAATCTGATATGCCAGATAAGGCCAAGACAGCTCAGTGTATTTTGTTCCCCAAAGTTTGGAGTCCTCAGGCAGGTATAGGGTGATGCTGTGTTACCAGTTGATCCTATTACAAGATCAAAAGGGATAGTGCACAGTCCACTCTGCCAAATACCACAGGAAAAGCTAACTGAGCTTTGGAGCAGCCTATGCAGTATTGTGTTTTGCTATTCCACTTGGCATGTTCATGAACCTTTAACTCTTGATCTCTGACCAGCTATAAGAAAATGGATATTTGATTGGGTCTGAGAGGCTTACAGACCACGACGGCAGCAAGGGCTTTTCATTGTTTGGAAAACATTGTTCCTTTGATCTCTTGTAGCATCTTTCAAATGGTTATATATTTGGGCTTACAATTCATTGTGTATGAGTTCATAGTTAAGACAAGAAGACTTCTCTTTGGAGAAAAGAGTGTGACTTTATCAAACCTAAAAAGGTGCTATAAATCTCCCCTGGCTCCATGTGGGAGGATTATCTCATGTTAACTCTGTCCAACTCCGAGAGAGAGGCATGCCAGGGGCACAACCCAGGGCTTGGATATGCTAGAATCTGGGAATTAGAGATGATAAATCAGTCCAGACTCATACTCTAAATCAATGTCAGGTCCATCTGAACACTATCTCTGAAAAAAAAATTCAACAATTTCTCTTTTTTTAATTTGGGTTTTTTGAATTTTGCTTTGAGATGGGTTGCCAAACAGAGCTAAATCATTACAGGCAAATTGCTATGTATATCCATGTCCTTTTAAGTGAGCTAGCTGTGGCTGGCATTTGCACAATATCCATAGTGGGAAATCATTGCATACTGGTAAACTTGTCAAACCTTTGTCCACTTACAGTCATGTTCTATTGTGCTGGGCTCCAGGCTGTTCTACTTACTATTTCACTATTTCCCGAGGGGATCCCTGCATCAGTTTCCTGTACTTCTGACCCAACTTCCTTCTACTTGTTCCTTTTTAATTTTAAAAATTTAATTGATTTTGCATGCCGCTATAATCTGATGTTCCTAATTTTTAAACACAGCTTTCTATCTGCCTCACTTCTCTGTTCAGTTATTAGGTGACAAATAGGATTTATCTTTCATGTCAATAGCAATTTATTAGTAGTAGCTTCCTGGAACACTGTTTTGAGAAAGATTATAAGGCTATGTCTGGGCTCACTGTGATTGATTGAAAATGCCTTCAGTGGGTACACGATGGTGAGGTGGTAGGGCATGTGCCATTCTTTGATAATTTCTCATGCAATATTCTAAGACAAATGGACAACAAATGGATATCCTGACATGTTGTTTGTGTCCAAAAATCATTTTTTACCTATAGATTGCCTGTTTAGTAAATCCATCATCAATAATGGATAATGCAGCTGTCGTTTACTGAGCAAGAACAATGTGCCAGCCACTGTGCTTGGTGGCTTACATGCATTAGTTCAAATCTTTCAGTAAAACTGCACAAAGTAGGCACTGCTATAAACATTTTACAGATAAGAAAATAGGGCACAATGGATTTGAGCAGGCTTTTTAAAGCTATGTAAATAAATGAGTAGCAGAAGCACAATTTACATTCTGCCTTATTTTCACCACCGTATACAACAGCAACAACAGAAATCCTAAGCATCATGGACTTCACTGCATCCTTAAAGGAGAGTCTCTATTTTGTAAGTGACAAGGGGAGCCAAGTGAAGGGACTTGAGTTCATGTGCAAAATATAATCTCAGATTCAAAACAGTCGAGGGCTAGATATAAAACTTTATATTAACCTTAAGTTAAACCATTATCAAGAGTTAGAATTACGACTATGACCTAGGATAAAATGAGTAAAACTAGGGATTGTTTCCTTCTAGTTTTGTTTGTTTGTTTGTTTGTTTTTTCTGAGACAGAGTCTCGCTCTGTTGCCCAGGCTGGAGTGCAGTGGCCGATCTCGGCTCACCACCTCTGCATTCAAGCGATTCGCCTGCTTCAGCCCGCGCCTGTCACCTTCTAGTTTTATACTATGATTTCAGAAGATAAGAATATTGGTTCCTATGACCTTCCTTGCTAGATGGTAAATTTCATAAGGCCAAGGGGCCATAGTCTCATTTTTATCCTCTCCTTGCCACATGTAACACCAAGCACTATACCTTAAAAATCCCTACATGAATGTTTGTTATCTAAGTGTGTATTAAAAAATGAACAAACAAGCAAACAAACAAAAAGAAAACAGAGGCCGGGCGCAGTGGCTCACGCCTGCAATCCCAGCACTTTGGGAGGTCTAGGTAGGTGGATCATGAGGTCAGGAGATCAAGACCATCCTGGCTAACACGGTGAAACCCTGTCTCTACTAAAATTACAAGAAATTAGCCGGGCGTGGTTGCGGGCACCTGCAGTCCCAGCTACTCGGGAGGCTGAGGCAGGAGAATGGCGTGAACTCGGGAGGCGGAGCTTGCAGTGAGCCAAGATCACGCCACTGAACTCCAGCCTGGGCGACAGAGCGAGACTCTGTCTCAAAAAAACAAAAGAAAAGAAAAAGAAAAAAAGAAAAAAGAAAGAAAAGAAAACAGAAAAAATGTACTGATGGATGTTTTTATTTTAATTTGTTGTGAAAACATGGGGAATAGACAGATAATTTGTACCAACATTACAAAGTAAAGAACTAGTTTCCAATTCTTGATTCTTTATTATTAAAGGGTCCATTTATATTGATTATTCCAATCCCATGGTAAAGAAAGAGCCTTGGCTGGGCGCGGTGACTCACGCCTGTAATTCCAGCACTTTAGGAGGCTGAGGCAGGCGGATCACCTGAGGTTGGGAGGTTGACACGAGCCTGGCCAACATGGTGAAACCCCGTCTCTACTAAAAATATAAAAATTAGCCGGGTGTGGTGGCACGTGCCTGTAATCCCAGATACTCGGGAGGCTGAGGCAGGAGAATAGCTTGAACCTAGGAGGTGGAGGTTGCGGTGAGCAGAGATCACGTCATTGTACTCCAGCCTGGGCGACAGAGCGAGACTCCATCTCAAAAAAAAAAAAAAAAAAAAAAAAGAGAGAGAAAAAGAAAGAGCCTTAAGAGGTGGATGACAGTCTTTAAACGCACTGCCTCATAACATTAAGATGTGGCACAGAAAGACTCAATGACAAAGACCAGAACCTTATTCTGTTTAGTATTCACTAGATTGACACTGAGAAAATAACTGCATGCTAAGAGTTAAGTAACACAAGTAGAAATAGCAATGCTATCCCACAAGTTGTGGGGACACTATAATGCTGCATCATCTCATTTTAGTAGCTGGAGTAATTATTTATGTTAAATAACCACAAAGCGATTATTGCCAACATAATGATTAAGGTTTATGGTGCAATGTAGAAGGCCAAACTTGTTATATAAATGGTAAACCTCAATAATTCAGTTTTTAAATAACACTTTGAGATTTAATCAACACAGAGTAATTGCATTAAATCTGAATTAAGTTCACATCGGAGACATGATAATATCAAGCAAAGCATCTCATTCTTTTTTCTAATATATAAAACAGATCTCGTGATCTCACGAATCAATGCAGTTCAGTTCAAGTTCACTGCAAAAGCAGTTTTCTACTAAAGGCCATGGATTGTATAGCCCCATCAATCTTGACATATGGAGCTTACCAGTAAGGCAGAGATATGTCTTGGGACATTACTCAAAGCATGAGTTTTCTCTATACATTTTATTCAAATACATTAAAATTGTTTTTAGCACTATCAGGTGTTATTTTTCTAATCTAGGCCAATGCAGCTCAAATTTTAGCACAAAAAATTACTGATCACATAAAAGAAATATACTGTTTCCCCAGGAATTTGGATATACAGCTCACCAAAACTTTACCTGTTCTCTAACATCTAGTATTTATCTTTAAAATTATTTTAAATCTTGGACTTTCCAGGATACATATGACCTTGCTCTTATACCAAGAATAACATTATTAAATTATGTATTATCAGAGAAAACAATTTTGCAACGTTTACTCTTGAATTATCCAAATCTCCATTTTGAGAAGTCCAGCTTCAGATACTTTATTTAATTAAAAAAAAGAAAATAAATATTTACACACTGAGCCAGAATAAACTCACTTTCCTAGTTTTCCTGAATTGCCAAGAGTATTATTTGAAAGGTCAGTTGATCTTCTTGAAGTTTCCAAAAAAGGTTAAAATGTACCTCAGCAGTGTAGATTTCTTCATGGATAGATCATACAAATATTTAATAAAAGCTTACTTAAACTTATTTTTATTGTCAGTTTTTATCACTTTGAAGTGTCAGTGAGTCTAGACATTTACTCTTCCTATATTAAGTGGTATCCCTAACATAGGAGAAAAATTCGTAAGCTGTTTCACACACAAAAAAAGAACTTTGTGATCAAATAAGGCTGAGAAACTAAGCATACCACACGTTTCTTGTAGATTTAAAATACATATGAGAATATTGAAATCTCTAAGAAGTTCTGTAGTACCCAAATGGTTCTCAATTCTTAAATTCACAAATTAGTTATTAGCCACTAGTGGAAGTAGTACTCCATGGTATACACTTTGTGAAAAATATGCACTTATTGATTTCATATGCTTATATTACAATCCATCTCAGGATTTGCCTTTCCAAACTGAAAAAAATAATGGTATATTTTATTACTTGGCTGTTTCTTTTTTAAAAATTATTATTATCTACTTAATTATAATTAACAGATAATACTTATACACGTTTATGGAGTACAGTGTGATGTTTCAACACATAACCCTTCTGTTAGGAGCACCAAAGCTCATGGGCTCAATCATGTATTTTGTGTTTTGGCAAGATCTGTATAGAGACATTTCAGTTTGGTTTGTTATAACCTTTCCAATTATGCCCATCAGCTGTCTTTTTTAGCTATAGAAATATACTGGGTTTAAATTATAGACTTACAATTAGTACCAAGTTCCTCTTACATCAATAGTGAGGGTTTATAACTCATTATTTTAGCAAATGTTTTGGATTCCTTTTTTTATATCAGTTATCTTCAGTAGACAACAATGGTGTTCAGCAGCTACCTTTTAGTTCATTTACAAAATGTTTGTAATCTTTCTGAAACATATCAGTCAACTGGAAAATTTGATTCACTTTTCATAACAACTCATTTGGAGATTTTTCGATTTGCTCCTATCAAGTTACTGAATCCAGCAGCAATCCTGCTATTTTTTTGAGACGGAGTCTCTGTCGCCCAGGCTGGAGTGCAGTGGCGCCATCTCGGCTGACTGCAAGCTCCACCTCCCGGGTTCACGCCATTCTCCTGCCTCAACCTCCCGAGTAGCTGGGACTACAGGCCCCCGCCACCATGCCCGGCTAATTTTTTGTATTTTTTAGTAGAGACGGGGTTTCACCGTGTTAGCCAGGATGGTCTTGATCTCCTGACCTCGTGATCCGCCTATCTCGGCTGCCCAAAGTTGTGGGATTGCAGGTGTGAGCCACCGCACCCGGCCTGCTATTTTTTTTTTTCTCCCGAAGATGTGCCTATTAAACTTTACCCCTTATTTCCTGTCTCTCATCTTGCTTCTCTCTAAGATTAAACAGTAAAATAGAAAATAACATTTGGTTACCTATAGCACTTTGCCGAGATCCTTAAAGCACATTATGTCACTCTGATTTTGACAGTGAGTACTGAAAGAACTTCAGGGAAGGAGAATGGGAGACTACATAGAGAAGTGGGAAAATTACACTGGAAAGAAGCAGAAACTCACAGAGAAAATCCAAATAAAACAAACTGGAACATGAAAGGAAAGCCTGAGGGAAATGGAGTGGAAGATGGCAGAGGGCAATGATACTTTTCAAAACAAATAGCCTAAAGTGTATTAAAAAGTCATAGTGGAAGTCAATGGAATGGAGACAAGCCTGAAGGAGTTGATTGTTAACTTTCAAATTTAACAAAGAATAGAAGAGTGGAATGCAATCTAGCAATCTAGGGTGTGCTGAAAGAAGGAAGGCAATTACAACATGGGAAGTCTAATTTCACAGCCTCAGCAGCAGTTTCAAGAATGTTATATATATTTTGTCTAATAAAAATAATTCAACATGAACTGAATAAATAGTTATAAAGTAAAATAAATTTCCTGAAAATTATTAATCCAATTCAGATTTTTTATGAAGCTATTTTAGGTATAGTGGGAAGGAAGGGACACTCTAGTTCAATGAGAGACTAGGAGACTCATGTTTTTAAAACAGATGCTTCTAGAAGGGGCGATGATAATGTTGCTTGTGTACGTTATGCTTTTTGAGCAGCCAATACATAATATAAATTCAGTAAACATTCAATATTGGAGGAAATGATGATAAAGACCTTGGTTCTCCCTGTAATGTGTTCCATAATCAAGTCAATCTGCCTCATGGTTTTGTTACCAGGATTTATAACACACTTAGAATTCTTCGCAAGATGAAAGATGTCATAACATAGAGCATAATGGGAAAAAAGTGTGAGTTGCATAAGGACTGAAATCTGGAAACTGCCTAAGGTGAAGGGGACAGGAGCAGATTCCTAGAGAGCAGAAGAAGAGGGAAAGCCCAACTTTAGACAGCAGGATAAAGTGCAACCAGTGGAGCACAGTTTTTGGAGAGAATATTAAAGAGGCAAGAGATAGCATGTTGCTCAAATAATGATGGTGAGGATAATAACAATAGCAATAGTGACATTTCTTGTATATCCAGCCTGTTTGAGACACTATACAGGGTAGTTTATGTAGATGCTCTTATTTAATCCTCACATCATCTTGTGGTTAAAGATCATTTAGGTAGGTGTTTTATTCCCCTTTTGCAGACATAAAATTTGAAGCTCAGGGAATCTTCACAATCACACAGCTAGTAAGTTGATTCAAATCCAGTTTTGCCAAGTTAACATTTCTTCCCCCTCTCCACTTAACAACCCACATCATGCAATCTCAATGTGAAGCTCTTTTATAGTTCTACAGGGATACAGTTAGGGGAACCAAAGTACAGAAATAATTATTCTTAATAAAAACAGAAGACAATTGCTAGATTCTCATGAAAAGGCACATCATCACAGTGTAGTTACAATAGGCCACAATGTCCAGCTTTGGAATCGGAAAACCTTGCTCAACGTGTGATCCTGAAGGAGTCTTAAAATTTCAAAACCTGTTTCCACAGCTGCAGAATGGGGATCATAATAATTATGGGGATAATTCCACACCCATGGAACTGAGACTCTTAAGAAAGCAAATATACATGGAATGCTTAACACAGTGGCTGCCACCTAGTAAATACTTACTAACAATTAATTCTTGCCTCTATTGATGTTGCTAGTATTACTAATGTTACCGCATCTAAAATACCTGTGTCACCCCAAACTTTTTTTTTTAACTAATATGCTTACAGCTCATCTAAGGAAAGAACAAATTCAAAACTAGATGGGCTAATGACTTGCAGAGGTGAGATACAAAACTAGAAATTATAAATTCCAGAAGAGAATCTCTAGGAGTTAGAGGGCTCAGGGCTCAGTCATAAGAAAACTTCTCTTTTCTGTCTACCTTGGTGAGCTCATCCAGTTTCATGGCTTTAATGTGTTGATGACTCCTAAATGTGAATCTTCAGTCTTGACCCTTTCCCTGGAATCCAATCTCCTATATGCAACTTCTTATTTGATATCTCTACTTTGATTCTGAATAAGCACCTCAAACTTAACATTTCTAAAATTGAGCTCCTGGTCTTCTTCAAATTTTCTAGTCTCTCATTCTTCCCCATCCAAGTTGGCAGCAAACATATCCTTGTTGCTAAGGTCAAACACCTTGCTACCTTCATGGACTTATCTCTCTCCTACTCCACATTCATTCTGCTATGAGACCCTGTTTGATCTATCTTGAAAGATCTCCATGATCTGATCACTTCTTGCTACCATCTTGCCTGCCACCCTGGTCTGGGTCATCTGCTCCAGAATATTGCAATAGTCTCTTAACCAAGCTAACTCCTCTCTTGCCTTTTACTCTATATTACGTTTATATCAATTGGAGTGATTATTCAAATATATAGGTCAGATATTGCCATTTTTCTGCTCAAAGGCTCCAGTGGTTTGCCATTGTATTAGTCTGTTTTCACACCGCTATAAAGAAGCATTTGAGACTGGGTAATTTATAAAGGAAAGAGGTTTAATTGACTCACAGTTCCTAATGGCTGGGGAGGCCTCAGGAAACTTACAATTATGGTGGAAGGCAAAGGGGAAGCAAGGACCTTCTTCACATGGTGGCAGGAGAGAGAATAGAAAGCAAAGGGGGAAGAGCTAATTATAAAACCTTGAAATCTTGTGAGAACTCACTCACAATCCTGAGAACAGCATGGAGAAAACTGCCCCCGTGATCTAATCTCCTCCCACCAGGTCCCTCCCTTGACATGTGGGGAATACCATTCGAGATGAGATTTGGGTGGGAACACAGAGCCAAACCATATCAACCATCTCACTGACAGGAAAAGCTGAAGTCTTTATGAATGGCACCAGGGGCCCTTCTCTATGGCCTCATCTTCCCATTGTTCAAGCTGCAATGGCCATACCAGCCTGCTCATAGATCTTCACAGGCACCAGGCATACTCCTACCTTAGTTTTTCTGAACTTGCTATTTTGCCTCTGAAACATCTGGATGGCTGATTTTCTCACTTATTTCAAGTCTTTTACTCAGCTGTTACCATTTCAGGAAGGCATGTAAAATATCATCTGGGGTATCTGAAAATTACTCCATACCTGATTTATTTCTTTGCTTCCATCACTGCCTTTTCCACCTATAACAATGTGTGGCTCAACACTGAATGAGTGAGATAATACATTTTGGCTCTAAGACTTCTTTATCGTTCTGTTCCCTTCTCCCTATATTTAATATTTATGTTATTGCCTGTGTACTTGTCCCCCCGCAAAAGGCTGATATGTGTGCATGTGCATATGCATATGTGTATATTAAATTATAAGGTCTTCGTGCCTGGGATTTAACTGTCTATCCCATAATGTATAGGTGAATAATAGTTCTGAATGCAGGTAAGTATTTAACTAAATGTTTATAATTGATTTTGATAAATTAACTGCAAGCAAACTTCTTGATTGTGTGGTATATGCTCCTATTCTCTCTATAGAAAAAATGAATAGGGAAAAAACCATAAACATATTCTCCCATTAGTCACTATAAATAAACTTTCACATTTGCCTTCATCTTTCTTCTATCTCCTCTCTTGTTCCACTTGCTTTTTTGTTATGAAACTAGTATTTATGGCCAAAGCAGGGCTGAGTAAGATGCAGTGATTATAGCTGATTTTATCACAGCTGTATTACTTAGCTGCTAGGTGAAGCACTGTGGTAAAATGGATCATGAATCCCTGAAATTGACTATCCATCACCTTTATAATCCTGATGGAGAGGCAGGTCGTATCAGGCCTGGCAACTTTCCATGCAAACAAGAACATCAAAGCAATGTTCCTGACTCAATTTGTCTAGAAATGTAACTACTAAACAATAAGATAAAGGTGAAGAGAAAGCCACAAGTGAGGAGATTGGGAGCATTGTGTAATTTTACCCCAATACATAGATTGGATGAAAATCCTCTGGGTTGTAAAAGTATAGATATTAAGGTATTTAAGATATACATTTAGAATTGCCTCAGCCATTATTGATTAATTCCTGCATTTACAATTCTTGCCCTAAACTCAGAACTTTTATAAAATTTTTGAGTTGATATGTCTTTGATATTTCCAGCTCAATCAACATCCCCTGACACATAAGTAGGAGCCCAATAAATATTTGTTAAATAAATGCATGACTGAATAAATCGATGGACTGACATTTAACACTCATCTCATCTTTGCTTTATCCCTATAGTGATGAGGAACTCACCAGTTCATAAGAAAACCCATCCCACTATTGAAGAGTGTTTTATTTTTTAGTCTATTTTTTCCTTATAATGAGCCAATATTTTCTTCATGGCAACTTCCATTAGGAATTGCCATGGCTAGAAGTCAATAGTTTTGATTTGACGATCTCTTCCCTTCTGTGCACCAGGCTTACTGAACCTCTAAGAACTTATTTGGTAGATTTTAAATTATTTCTTTCTGTATTTCTTGGGATAAATCCTTGAAAGGTTTTTGACAATTACTGCAGGGATAACTCTGGATCTTATACCCGCTGATTAGAATGGGTCCTAGTAAGGGAGGGCCTCTCCAGACCACCTATGAAATTTTGTATGTTCTTCTTCAGTTCTATGGTTCTATATTTTTCCTCCTCTTTCAGCTGAGATGTTTGGGGTATACTGCATTTCTTCTTTAACGTTCTATGGGAATTTAGTTTAGCACTGAGTGGCTGTTATACATTTCAGTGTGGAATAGACAATGAATGGTCTCTTTCAAAGAGCCCTAGTCATCACATTCGTATTTTGGAATTTTTCTGTCTTTGTCTTGGAACTTTTACACAGATCAATCCTCATAATCTAAGCTTTATTTGTACTTATCTACTATTCCAAATATAAGATATTCTTCTGATGGGAATATACGAGCTTTTTGAGCCAATAAAAAGGCTGTTGGGCTCAATCTCATTACATTTGTGACATACCACAAGTTTGGCTCCATATCTTCACAGGTAAAAATACAGAACTCCATTATGTGATTGGATCACCCATTACCTGGAACATAATTTATTCAAATAATGATGCAAAAATAAGCTCATTACCCCAAAAGTACCTCTCATTTCTTTATTCTACCTCATGAGAAAATGGGTTAGTTTTCTTCTCTATTGTATGTGTGTGTCTTCGTGTGTGTGTAGGATTAGCTGTCTTTGTAATTCACTTGTTCTTTGCTAATGAAACCTCTGCATCGCTAACAAAGCAGAAAATAAAAAAGGTAAATAGCACTCCTCAGAAAGAATTTGTTTCTTGTTACATGCATTCTTGTTAAACACCATCTAAGGGACTTTTTGCAGATCAAGAAAAAGGAAAAGGCTGCAAACACAATTAGTTGAACCAAAAAGAAATAATAATTATAATCACAATGCAGTCAAATGGATATTCAGACAGCCATGCCTGTGGTCAAAGAAAAAACAAATGGAGCATTGCAGTCATGGATAGTCCCAGGAAAGATTATGTATGATGGTAAACATAGGTGCTGACTGCCAGGAAAAGTCTTCATACTGATTTCATTAAAGGCCATGGGGCAGCTGTCCCTCCTGACCCTTACAGCCAACTGCCCCAAGGTCAAGCCAATTGCTGTATGACACTCAGTAGGAAGAAATAATTGTTTTCAAAATTTTACTGAAATATATTTTTACTGAACTACTATGTGCAAGCAACACACCAAAACACTAATGACAACATGTTAAGATCACGATGCATGGAAAAAAATGAATTAGAAAAAAGTTGTTATGATAGGTGTGATTTAAGAACATGAAATTCCTTAAGCATTAATTGACAAATTATGACAATTCACCATGTTTCACTGAGTAAAATTTATAAACTTTTTTGCAAATAATTGGAACCAAACAGTATTACCTTAAACACTACAGAAGAGTGAAGAGATAATACAGACATACCCATTATGTCATGTTTTCCCACTTAGATACCCAGAATGGAATCTCTGAATGGCTGTAGGAGACTGACATTCTACTAAGTGTGAGATGCTGTATAGTGGCACCATATTTTCAAAAATATCAGGGATTTGCATCTTTCTGATGGGTTCATGGCTGAGTTCACATCTCTTAAATCACACTGTGGAGACCAGTGGTAGTGAAAATCCTTCATTCTGTTTAGGGGTGCAGGGGATGTTATTTACATCAGCTTGTAGTTAAAGGATACTTGCAGTTCTACCAGGATTCAGAAGAGAGTATTCTTTATCCTGTTTCCATTTTATAATGAATTTATGTAATTGGAATCTATCCAATTAAGGTTTTGATTTCCTTTATAGAAGGCACAATGTCTTTTTCTCTAATGCTTCTACAGTGCCTGACAACTAATAGAAGTTCTAGAAATACCGGCTAACTGAATTCATTGAGGGAAAAATATACATGGCTACACATAGTCCTAATTCATATCATTTTCTGTACCATTTTTTAAAAATGTACACTTTATAGGAATCTGTGAAGTGGATATATTTCAGTCTTGCTGAGGCTGAATAAGCCGAATGTAGGGCAACGGTTTTTAACATCGCCTAGACAATAGAAGGACCAAACATGTACTCTAGTATTAAATTCTGAGCAGGTATCTTCAAGAACAATTTTCCTGAGCATTCTGTTCTGGGAACACGCTCCTCTCAAACCTTCTTCCATATCCTTCTGCCATTTCTATGATAGAGCCCACTGGGAAACATGAACAATACAATAGAAATATATAGAGATACACAAGTTAAAGCCCCTGTCCTAAAGCTTTACAGCACATACAATGAATAGCTTGCTAAACGTCTACACCTACATGATCCTGGCAGATAAAACTGAGCACTAAGAAAAAAAAAAAAAAAGCTCCATTCCCTGGGCTTCTTTTTGGCTAGTGCTCTTGTTACTTGCATCAACAATCACACGAATACTTGTGTGACTTTAATTGGGAACTGGAACGGTGGGGTAGTCACAGCATATCTATAGTTTTAGTAAGGAGTCTGGCAAAGAAAGTAGAGTTTGGAGTGAGTAATTTCAGTGGCAGCTTCCTGACATTGCTACAACTTGATCAAAGTAGAATGGAGATAGTTCTGGAGTTGGCAGCTGTGATAGCAGCTTTCTAATTGGGTGAGTGGCTTTCTGATTCAGTAGCTTTCTAGACTCTAGACCACGGCAAAGATAACAGCTTACCTAGTGGCCTAGCTCTCTGGTGTGGTTTTAGAAGTTATTTTTCGGAGTTTGGTCTGGAATTTGTTTCTTCAGGGTTCTCAGTGATTCTCAACTATCTTTATCTTCTAATAAATTCTTTTATGCTTTAAAAGAGCAGACTGGATTCTATCATATGCAAATAAAAATACTTATCAAATAACACAGTCCATTTTTCTCTATCTGCCAAGGTGGAGGAGCATTCAATCTTCTCAAATGTGTTTATGGAGATATCTAGGCTCTTTTTTGGTAACCTCTTTGCTTTTTTAGAAAATTGTGATGGACTCTTACTCTAGATATTGCCTCAACATGGAGTCATACATACTGAGATTATAATTATTGTTATAATATCTATTTTTGGAATTTCAGACATCTAAGGCTGATTCAGAGGAGCTGCCTGGACCTTTGCTTAAATTCACTATTGGGAAAACAGTATCTTATGCAGAGTGGTGACTATTCATGAAAGTTGATCTAAAATTGGCTGACGGAGAATTTAAACAAGATTACAGATTTTTCAGGTATCCAAAGTCATTTCTGATCATCTTTTTAAAAAATTCCCTAATAATAGAGAATCGAGCACCCACAAACCAGGCTCCAGTGAGTTAATGACTTTATTACATTCCATGCAGAGTCTCAATAATTTTGATTGCTGCTCACACTGCTCAATTCATTTAATATTTCTTGAATTCTTTGCTTCACTTTTTCCTCTGAGTTATGCTCATATATAGTTTCATGTATTAGATTTGCCCGTTTAAGCTTAGAATAGCATTTGTGGAAAGGGCTTAGAAAATAACCCCATCCTGAGATTTCTACCCTTTCCAACCCGATATGCAGAAACTTTTGAAATATTTTTCTCTTTTCTACATACCAAAGGAGTATTGGCATTTTTGATTCAGGCAATCAATAATTGGCAAAAGAAGGAAAGAAAAAGAAACCTAGAGCCTAGAGGCATTGTGTTTTTGCACTTAAGGGAACATAAAATGTTAAATAACGTTTTTCTCTAGGAGGAAAGAATTTTTTTTTGTATTTATACTCCCTATGTAGTTTTGTTCTGCTTTAACAAACCATTCCAACACGCTCATACATGTTTTCTACTAACACTTATTAGCAGTAAGGATGGTCGTAGTAGATAAAAGGTCTTCTTATTCTACTTCATAAAAAAATTCAACAATAATTGGAGCCTTCGATATCTGAGTCCCACACTGATGTTTTGGTTTACCACAGTTATTTGGGCTGTGTCTAACCTGGAAAACTCATTTACTTGAATGTAACTTCAGGAATTAAAAGCACTAACAATACTAAGAATAACTTCACATATAATAATTGCTCATTAAACGTTATTTTAGTAACTCTATTGAGCTTCATAATAGCAGAGACAGTCATGTTAAAATATGTTCTTGTTTAGCCAGGTTAGGTTATGGTCCATGAACAGAAAATTCATTTTGTTCATCTCTATAACAGAAAATAGATTTAATTATTGATAACTGTATTTTCTGAGAAATACTACAGTGCCTCATTCTTTGAAAGCAGGTAATGGAATATTTGAAATTAGATAAACATCCTCTTTTATCCTAATTATATTCCCCCAAACATTCTCTTGGTATTTCCAGGAGGTTTTTATGCCCAAACTAAATTCTTTCAGTGTATATATTTGCCTCCCGTAAGATCTCTGGCTGTTTGGCTGTGACCTTTTATTAGATTTGATTCATTCTACTAAATTGCTTGGGCCATTTTTGCAGACTTATCACATTAGTTAAAGTGAAGGCTAAGCTGCTGTTGAAAGTGGGGCATGGCAAGGCAATCCTAAGCAAAAAGAACAAAGCTAGAGGCATCACATTACTCAACTTCAAACTATATTACAAGGTTGCAATAACAAAAACAGCACAGTACTGGTACAAAAACAGACACATAGACCAATGGAATGGAATAAGGAGTCCAGAAGTAATGCTGTACAACTGCTAGTATCCAATCTTTGAAAAAGCTGACAAAAATAAGCAATGGGGAAAGAACTATCTATTCAATAAATGATGCTAGGATAACTGGCTAGTCATACGCAGAAGATCAAAACTGGACCCTTTCCTTACACCACATACAAAAATCAACTCAAGATGAGATAAGGACTTAAATGTAAAACCTAAAAAACTATAAAAATTCTAGAAGATAACATAGAAAAAACCATTTGGATATATAACCTGGCAAAGATTTCATGACGAAGACTCCAAAAGCAATTGCAACAAAAACAAAAATTGACAAATGGAACCTAATTAAACTAAAGAGCTTCTGCGTAGCAAAGGAAACTATCAACAGAGTAAAGAGACAACCTACAGAATGGGAGAAAATTTTTGCAAACTATGTATCATGCAAAGGTCTAATATCCAGAATCTATAAATAACCAACAAATTTACAAGCAAAAAACAACTCCATTTAAAAGTGGGCAAGGGACATGAACAGGCATTTTTCAAAAAATGCCTGCAGCCAACAACCATATGAAGAAAAGCTCAATATCACTGATAATTAGATAAATGCAAATCAAAACCACAATGAGATACCATTTCACACCAGTCAGTATAGCTATTATTAAAAAGTCACAAAATAACAGATGCTTTCAAGGTTTCAGACAAAGTACATGTTTACACTACTGGTGAGCATGTAAATTAGTTCAGACAGTGTGAGGATTCCTCAAAGAATCTGAAACAGAATTACTGTTTGACCCAGCAATCCCACTATTGGGTATATAACTAAAGGAATAGATATCATTTTACCAGACACATGCATTCGTTATGTTCACTGCAGCACTATTCAAAACAACAATGACATGGAATCAACCTAAATACTCATCAACAGTAGAGTGGATAAAGTAAATCCAGTGGTACATATGCATCATGAAATATTGTGCAGCCACACAAAAGAAGGAGATCACATTCTTTGCAGTTACATGGATAGAAGTAGAGATCCTTATTCTAAGCAAACATAGGAACAGAAAACCAAATATTACACATTCTCACTTATAAGTGGGAGCTAAACAATGTGAACATATGGACACAAAGATGGGAATAACAGATACTGGGGTCTATTTGAGGGAAGAGGGTTGGAGGAGGGAGAGGATCAGAAAAAAATACCTTTTGGATACTATACTTGTTACCCAGGTGATGGAATAACCTGTCCATCAAACCCCAGTGACATGCATTTACCTATATAACAAACTTGCACATGTATCCCTGAACCAAAAATAAAAGTTACAATTAAAAATAGTTATAAAAATAAAAAGGACCAGGGGATGACTAAACAGTAGCTTATAAATGAAACATGTTTGTTAACTGCTTATATAATAATCCTGAGATAAGTGGTTCAGGTTGGTGGCAGCTTTGCTCCATGTAATCATTCAAGAAGTCAAGTTTCTTTCATCATGTTCCTTTGCCTTTAGCTACCTATCCTTGTGTGCCTAGGTGACACTAGGTTGTGGGCACTTCCATGTTGCTGCTTGTGAGAAGAAAATAAAGAGAACGTGGAAGAGCAGAAGACCAATGTCTCCAGGCCCAGACCAAGAAATGCCAGTTATCACTTCCATTCATATTTCATTAGCAAGTACTTGGTCACTGAAAGAAAAGGTGGGAAATGACCTCCAAATGAGTAGTCATGTCGCTGGCTACACTTCTTTCTCTAGGGAGGAAGGAGAGCATGAGTTAGCGGACAACTAGCTATCTCTGCTACACTTGCCAACTTTATCAAATAAGTTGACCAAGTTAAGCTAGTTCACCTCAATTATGGGGAAGATAATTTTTTCTAACTCTTAATGTTTTATACTTGGATGTAATCTCCAACACTTTCCCTACAAATGTGGTCTCCTGAGAGACATTTAAAGATCTTTCAATTGTCTTACTGACTTCTAAAGAATATGAATGCTACTTATTGTACTGACCAAGCATGAAAGATGAAGTTAAGGTACAGAGTTAGGAGATTAATAATTTTTCTGCTTCCTCCCTACAACTCATAATGGCTTCAAAAATGAGGAGGCTTGAAGTAAAAAAATGATATCCCTTAATGTAAACACAACAAAATTTTTGCTAGTCTATGTCATACTCAACACTGATCTTTTGGCTCCTCAAACCACTTTAAAAAGTTATGAAGGATGTGCATTGCAAATTTTATAATAACAAAACAAGCATAACAATGCTATTAAAATAATTAAAAATTCACTTGGTCCCTATTTAACTCACTTTGGCTGCCTAACTTCACATAAAGAGATCAGGCTTCAGAGGTGAAACAAGACATTAACAGGTGTTGCAGGATCATGAAGGTGATTTCCCATTAGCCACATGGTAAATGTTCTGGAAACAGCAGCAAGAAAGCTGTACGTCACAATGCTGCCTGTGCATCAAGTCGTTAAGTTAAATGAAGTTATTATTTTGGTTAAATAAATTCCATGCCATTATTATAAACATATTAATTAAGGTTGATGGTGTAATGAAACAGGTTTACTGTTAACTTCACACATGTTACATAAGAGGAATGTGAAACAATTCAGTTCCAGTAAAGGTCTCAGAGTGAAGCTTTGAACATTAAAGGGCATTGCACCTGAGATGAAAATGTATCTCCTGTTTGGACAGTAGCAATGTCCAGATCCAGAATTAATAAGCTTTTGCCAAAATAATTTAGTACAATAATTAAGAAAGCACAGGCTTTGAAATTAGACTGGTTTGTTTTTTATTAGAAGCTCTGCTACTTATTGCTGTATGACCTTGAGCAGTTTTACACAGCATCTCTAAACCTTAGTGTCAACATCTGCAAAATGAAGGTATTAATTGTTGCTTCTTTATATGACTGTTGTAAGAATTAAATTAGAACTCCTGTGTTAAGCAGTTTGCATGATGTCTGGGACAGTATTCAATGAATGCTAACACATTATTATCCTCAAAATATTTATATTGCATGCCCTTTAATATTGTTAATTGGACCTTATGTTTGAAACAGAGGAATAATTGTATTAGGCTGTGTAAAATTGACAAATAAACATTTTTTTTTTCCAAAAGGAAACACTCATATTTTAAACATTGGATACTGGAATTGAGGCACAAAGATTCTTTGAGAAGGGCGATTAAAATGGAGTACATAGATGACACGTGTGAGAATATATTTTTTACTAACCAAATTGCTGATTCTAGTGGAGAGGATATTCTAGAGTTCAGTGAGTAGTTATACACTTCTAAATGAGAGCTGAGGAAATGATTTTTAAACTGCAACTAAATCATAAATTTGGAGAAAAATTTTCTCTATGCATCAATACATATAACTGGAAGGAAGAAGTTTGGATCATACATGTTTCACATGTTCAAAGAAATTGTCATTGTGAAATGCCTTCAAGAACTGACCTCACTGCAAACTTAAATGAATAAATAAAAGCCATTGAAACTGCTAAATATATATATATATATATATATATATATATATATATATATATATATATATATATATATTGCCCCTGGGTTTGCTATAAAAGGATCTCAGGGGTTATTACCATCTTATCAAATATTCCATTAAGACTAACAGCCCTAAAAGAGAACTGTCATTTGCCAGAATTCCCTCTGAGCTCTAGGAATCCTTTTTGTCAGTGTCATGCCTGGACCAGGATTCCACACAAAGAAGAATGAAGTCAGAACCTGGTTAATATATAATTAGCAATAAAAGGAGTTGGGCATTTGAATAATACATCACATGGTCAGATGAGAATAATACCAAGAAAATGGAAAGAACATGTGCTAAAGATAAATCAGGTACAAGTAGTAAGAAGTGAATTGGATGATAAGTAGGAAAGAGATGGCAGAGAGTACTAACAAAGTCTTCTATTTGCATCTATTGTTTCCTAACAGTGGTCTCTTATTAATACTTACAGCATCTCTGATATGGACATATGGAACATATGGACACAAAGAGGGCAATAACAGATACTGGGGCCTATTTGAGGGTAGAGGGTTGGAGGAGGGAGAGGATCAGAAAAAGATACCTTTTGGATAATATACTCATTACCCAGGTGATGGAATAACCTGTACATCAAACCCCAGTGACATGCATATTACATGTGACATGAGAGAAGCCTGGAACAAGTATCCAAATCCTTATTTTGGAAATAAAAAAATCAGACAGGATGGTGAAGTGACTTGCATAGGGTTTCTCTACTGCGTTGGGAGCTCAGCTGAGACTTGTTCTTTATCCTTTGCTATAATCATTAAGACAAACTGCTTCTGGTCAGTCATGAGGAAAACACAAATATACTCCCCCAAAATAGTCACACCCAGATTCTTCCTTATCCTGTAATATTAAGGTGATAATAAAGTTTAGTGGTCCGTGTTCACTTTTTCTCCTTGTATAGTAGAGGTCTTATTGGATTAAGTATTGCTTTAAATCTTTATTGGTGTGATCTGAGAGAAAGCAGCATTCACATCACCTGGGCTTCTGAGAAATGTAGACTCTTAGATTCCATTCTAGACTTAATGAGTCAAAATCAGCATTTTAGCAAGATTCCCCCAGGTTATTTCTATATTCTAAATCACTCAGCCAGTCTTCTTTTGGGTGTACTATTTAAAGTGCCTCAACTGACACCAGGCAGAGGAATAAGAATACATATTTTCATTTTCATTCTTTTTCTGAAATGCTGAAAGGTGGGTCAACAATCACCACTTAGGCTGGCATAATAGAGTTCCACAGCATTTTTCCCAGCAATGCTCAGAGATGTCTGATGTTATTTATTTTCACATTTCATTGCCATTCATATCTTCAAGGTTCCCCTAGGAGCAAAGGCCTTGAAGAGCAGGGCTGAGAGGGAGGGCACATCAGAACTGCCTGCACTCAACTCTTTCCTAGCAAGAGGAGCAAATTTTGCAAGTATTGTCCTTTTAACAAAGAAAAACTACAGTTGAGCTTGAGCAGGTAATAGGTGAGACACCACCCCACATTCATGAAATGGACTGGGGAGTGACCTGGCCTGAGTATTTTACACTTCCCTTAATGAAGACAATGAGCACAGGGTTGTTATCTTGGAAAACTCTAAAAAGAGGAGTGGTAGGGACAATTGGTTGCAGTGATCTAAAAATTTGAACCTATAAGAAAAGGCCATTATAGAAATTTTAATTATACAAACATAAGTTATATGAGTTCTGTTCTTGAATGATTCTGCTTTCAAGGGGTTTTTAATATCAAATTTAAAACAACAACACAAGATTTTATACATGAAAAGCATACTCTGCATCATGAAAGGCACAAAATGCAACAGATGTACCAACAATCCATGTTTGAATGAACCATCTACAAATCATTCTATAAGCCCTCTGATATGTCTATCTATCCCATACTAGATCTTTATTCTGGATTCAACAATATTCTCTTAGTTTGAGGACAAAAGAGATTAAGGAGACAGCCCTCATTTGTAATTAAATTTGTTACAAAACTTATTGAGCAACCACTATGAGTGGGCTGCTTCCATAAATGGAGGAGAAAAAATCATTCTGAAATTAGATAGCAACAGTTATATAATTGTGTATTTAAAGGCACAATGGTAGTGTGTATACTCCACAAAATATCTTACTATTGATTAAAAAAAAAAAAAAGCTGACACTGGAAAGAGATTATTTAGGGAAGTGTTTTTTGTGGTTTTTGTTAAGTCTATTTGAGATTTTACTTGCTGTGGTAGGAAGAATAATAGGCTCCCAAACTTGCATATGTCCTAATCACTGGAACCTATGAATATGTCACTTTACAGGGCAAAAGGGACTTTGCATGCAATTAAGGATCTTGAGATGGGGAGATTGTCCCAGTTTATTTGGTTGAGTCCCATGTGATCATGATTTCCTTAAAGCTCGAAAAGGGAGGCAGAAGGGAAGAACAGGGATTTTTGACTACAGAACAAGAGGTCAGTGTGATGCAATGTGAAGAGGTCTATTACCTGCTATGGCTGGCTTTCATGATGAAAGAAGAGAAGTTGGCTAATGAGTACAAAAATACAGTTGGATAGAAGGAATAAGTTCTAGGATTTGATAGTGCAGTAAGGGTGTATTAGTCCATTCTCACACTGCTATGAAAAAATACCCGAGACTGGGTAATTTATAAAGAAAACAGGTTTAATTGACTCACCGTTCTGCATGGCTGGAGAGGCCTCAGAAAACTTAGAACCACGGCGAAAAGCACCTCTTCACAGGGTAGCAGGAGAGAGAATGAGCTCAAGTAGGGGAAACGCCAGATACTTATAAAACCATCAGATCTCACGAGACTCACTCATTATCAGGAAAGCAACATTGAGAAAACTCCCCCCGACAATTCAATTACCTCCACCTGGTCCCACCATTGACACGTGGGCATTGTCATAATTCAAGGTGAGATTTGGGTGGGAACACAGAGCCAAACCATATCAAGGGAAATTATACTTAACAATAATTTATTGTATATTTCAAAACAGCTAGAAAAATGATAATGTTCCCAACACAAAGATAAATGTTTAAATTAATGGGTATCCCGATTACCCTGATTTGATCATTACACATTTTATATATGTATCAAAATATCACATGTACCCCCACAACGTATACAACTGTGATATATCAATTTTTAAAAATACACAAACAAAAAAAGATGGAGGAATAGGGACATCAGCCAGAAAAAGCAAGGAAACAGATACCCCTAGAGCTTCCAGAAGGAAATGCAGCTTTGCCAACATCTTGATTTTAGACTAGTGTGGTGACCTGCATCAGACTTCTGACAAAATGTACAATAAGAAATTTGTATTGCTTTAGACTCCTAAGTTAGTGATAATTTGTTATGGCAGCACTAGAAAACTAATACTCTTACTTAGCTTATTGTACCAGCAAAAGGGTGGCTCTTTCACTACTTAATAAGGCTTAAGCATCTAGGTTTTCATTAAAAAAAAAGAGATTGCAAATGTATTAATAAATGTTCCTTTTGTTTTTACTAAGTGGCATCAAGGATCGTTAAAAACCACACACAAGGGCCAGGTGTGGTGGCTCACGTCTGTAATCCCAGCACTTTGAGAGGCCGAGGTGGGCAGATTACCTGAGGCAAGGAGTTCGAGACCAGCCTGGCTAACATGGTGAAACGTTGTCTCTACTAAAAATACAAAAATTAGCTGGGCCTGGTGGCACATGCCTGTAATCCCAGCTACTCGGGAGGCTGAGGCAGGAGAATTGCTTGAGCCCGGGAGCCCAGGAGGCGGAGGTTCCAGTGAGCCGAGATCTTGCCACTGCACTCCAGACTGGCTAACACAGCAAGACTCCATCTCAAAAAAAAAAAAAAAAAAAAAAAAAAAAAAAGCACACACGAAAACATTTATTTAACAGAATTCCTAAATTTACATCTTGTTGATTTATGACTAGAACCCACAAAAGCCATCAAAATAATGATGTCATACTTGAATAAACATAATGGCAGAATAAAATTTTTGAGTAAAAAAGATGACATAAGGTATCCTACTATTTCTAGTCATATGAGATTCCCATGAGATTACATGGTACTTTGAGATTATATAAAAAGTAATGACAAAAACCGCGATTAGTTTTGCATCAACCTAATACCTTGCTTGGACAGCACATGGCCAACTAGGTCACACCATGACAGATACAATCTGGTTTGGATTGATTTGTGTAAAACGTAAAATTGTCTGAGAGAATGATGAGTCCTATAGGACACTTGAGAAATCCCTGGCACTCAGCAATTAGGAATAATGAAAGGCAACATGCACAAGTTTCTAGAGTACAGCAGAGAGGACTTCAGCCAGTAGTCAACTGGGGGCTGGAGGAAATCTCATAAGGAGATGCCAAACTGAAAAAAGTCTTTAAATTTCTTGAGCTAAGTCTAGTCTGGACTATACTGGGAGGAATTTTGGAGGAAGCCCAGGCAGCAAGAGTGACTAAATCAGAAACACAGAATTTGATAACAAATCTATTTCTCTTAATTATTATCAAGAACTGCCTTCAAACTATCAGCTACTGCAAATAAAACAGGAGCATTTCTAAAAACAGAGACAGAAATATCAGATTACATACCACAACACAAAAATTCTGACTATATTTCAGGCCATTATTTGATATGAAAATAAAATGCCTTTTGGCAAAACCCTAGCAATATCTGATCCTAGCACATTTTGTGTGACAATTCTAAGAAGCTCTATGTGTGCTATGACAAAGCTAAATAGTTTGATTAAAGTTGATCAGTGACTTCAAATACAGTCTTTCTTAATGAAAGAAAACACTACACAAAAGAACATATTATAGTTGAGAAGTGAAATTTCATATACAGAAAAATATGTTAAATGTCTTAAATGATGATGCAATAAGCCTTAAATTTTATTTAAGTAATCTTCACTCATATGGCATATTTACTAAAAACTAATGTGTAGCAGCATATTTTTGACTGGTGGCAGAAGAAAAACATTTCTTCATGATGAATTTTTTAAATGCTTTTTTTCTTTTCACCAGAAAAGCTCAATAACAGAAGTGATTCAAACTAAAGAAGACCAGTTTTATCCCGAATGCCTGTAGTCCTCCATAGAGTAAATAACATGTCCCTGAACAACATTCTTGGAAGTCAAAATTCAGAACGTATTGATTCATTTTGCCGTAGTAAGGTAATTTCTGTCATCTTTTTTTATTCATGAAATTCTATTACTCGAGTCAACAACAGTTTATAAACTGGGCTAAAAAAGAGCTTATTGAGACTGGCCTTGATCAAGGAGAGGACAGAGAAAGCTTTCACTGAAAAGGCAGAGCTTATTCTTCATTAAATATTTTTAAAAAAATATTTTTGCTATTTTTTTCATTCAATTTTTCTCTTAAAAACCATTTGTAGTGAATATTTGCTTGTTGTAGATAGGAAAAACGTTTAAAAATAAAGAAATATAGATAAGTTTATTAAGAACATTTTTGAAATGTCAGTACAACTTCATAGATGTGTTTGGAATCAAATGACACTTGTCTCTTTAGGGAGGTAAATGGTGTGCATGTGAGCACTCATACATGTGCACACATATGTGAGTATGTATCAATACTTTAATTCTAATGCTCCTATTGCCCTCCAAAGATGTATTTTTTCTTCTGAAATGGGGTCTCGCTATGTTGTCTAGGCTGGTCTCAAACTCCCAGGCTCCAGCATCCTCCTTCCTCAGCCTCTGAAGTAGCTGGGATTATACGTATGTGCCACCACACTCGGCCCCCACCGAGGATGTCTTAATTGGTCTGATATGCTGCGTAGTTCTGCCTAGTTTATATTTTAGTTTCTTCTGTGTCATCTTCAGCATCAATAATGAATATTTACTGAGTATTGTATGTATTGCATGATGCTTGTACTAGTCTGCTCAAAAGGCCCCCTTCTAGATAGTGAATTCAATAACAGGGAAAATGTTATACTTTATTAGTTCCTTGATCCATTCAGTTCTGCAACTTATCTAAGAAAAACACAAAAGCCATGTGTGAACAGATCTCCTAAGTCCCATCATTTCAAAATGGATCAAAACTATGAACACAGTTAATGTATCCTAAAACGTTGTATCTCTTAATGATGGAATTTAAAAAATGTAGGTAGTGTGGTGTATGAGAAATTGACTTTGAAATCAGTCAGAATTGGGTTTCAATTCTAAGTCTACCATGTGCTAATAGCAAAATGACCTTGGGCTAGACCATAAATTTTGCATGTATAAAATATTTTTATTAACACTGCTATCATCCGTTTACTGGTAGAATTTAATGAGAGAACACAAGTAGATTTTTCAGTCACGGGGCCCGAAACTTGGTAGATATATAATAAATATCAGCTTCCTTTCTCCTCTCCATGCCTTCTGAGGAGATACGGTTATTTCTATATCTCCATAGAGATATAGAGATATAAAGATATAAATTATATCTCTCTATAGAGAGATATAAATTATATCTCTCTATAGAGAGATATAAATTATATCTCTCTATAGAGAGATATATAGATTATAGAGATAATTATTTCTATAAACTTTCTTCTTCCTAAGTAAAATAGAACTAATTTTTGCATGTAATAAAAATACATTCGAATATTACTGACACTTTCTAATGTTAGTATGTAAAATAAACTTTATAAACAAATACATAAACAATTTGCTTCATGATTTTAATTTGTCTTATCTCTCAATCTTTGTATTTCTAAATAAAAGAGTAATAGCCATGTTATATAACATAAACTCTTCATTTATGCTCAGATGAATATTTTCTATTTTTCTTGATCATTTTTATTGGATTTCTCAAACAATTCTCTTTGGTTTCTTTGCTATGGCATATATTTTTTGAAGGGTAGAGATATGAACTATATGGGAAACTTAAAGTATAACTTCCATATTTAATAGAAGTTAAGGAGAGCATTGTTTTTCCTGAATGTCTTACTTTGTTAACTGGTTTTATCAGTGGGAAATTGAATTTATATTTTCCAAGTATCTTCTAGCTTTCTGTTTCAATCCCTATTATTGAAATTAACCACCGTATCGACAAATCTGAATTCTTCTCTTTCTTCCTGGACTCTATTTCTTCACTGCTTAGTCTAAACCATGCTTATGTGTTCCTGTTTTTTCCTTTCCAGTGTGTACTGTGGAATCCTGATCTGCTGTGAACAAATACATTTATCTTCCACCTTTTCCTGAAACATTTCTTCCACATGTTCATTAAGTTTTGCATGAACGAAATTTAGCATCAGGTTGTTCTGTCATAGGAATTCTTCCAAGGAAGGTCAGTAAGCTGATGAGAAGCCAAAGAAAACAGATGTTAGTGGTAGAGCAGAAGTAGAAAATGGCAAATTTGGTGGTAGTGATCATTGTAATAGTGACCTGGGATAATGTGAATAGTAAAGGTGGAGAATAAGAAATGATAAAGGACTGAGTTGGGAATCAAATGTCTGTAGTTCGATTTTGGAGGGAAGAAAACAACCCGAAGCCTAGGACTAAAATTTTAATGGAAGGGAAATGGCAGTTTTATAGCTAAAAGTAAAGTTCATTAAAAATTCCAAGTTAATTCTTACAATAACTCCCTAAGCTATTGTATTCTCACTTTGTAGATGAAGAAAATGGAAAACAGAAAAACTAAGCAATGCATCCAACATAACACAATCACAAATGGCCAAGCTTCAATGTGAACTAAAATAGTGTTTGGAATTGCAGAAATAATCAATGTCTAGCAAATCCCATGAAACATGTACTTGCTATCTCAGTTGGCTTTAATTGTGATGCTTGGGACTAATGGCAGTCCTCTGTTCTAGCATACCTTCAAGACATGTTGTTTCTGAGACTAGCGTCTTGAAAAATCTGAACTGTGATGCTCCTCCAGGATCATCTAGTTAATAAAACCCTCTTTAGTAGCATCTGTTCCATTTCCTTCAAACTCATAGGGTTAGGAGGACATGGTGGTCTAGATGACCCATTTCTTGCTTTTTGTCACAATTACCTGACCAATCTCAATATCAGCTCTTCTTATAAAATTAGGAACATTCATTTGACTAATATGGTGTCAATGAAATGAGCTGCTTAGGTCTCTTGTTGCAGAAAGTGAGATTGACTGAGAGCCCTAGCTGCTATTCCCTGGAACCACTACCACATTTACACCAAGGCTACATTTTCCAGCTCTCAGTCAAAGATTGAGGATGGTGACAATACTGATGCAAGTCCATTCCTGTGGTATGCAGGACTCTTCAGATGAGTGACTTTGGAGTAAGGGGTACCAATAAGTCTGGCCAAAACTTTCTTAGAACTGTTACAGTTTGAGAGTCTTCTTATTCAACCCTTCTTCCTTCTTCAACTCCTTTCATAGGTGTGAGACCTACATTATGTAGGGCTTTTCCTGCTTATTCTCTTCCCCTCCTTTCATCCTTCAAACATGTTTCCCCAATGGATCTGTTGCACATCCAAACAAATTTGCACATCCAAACAAATGCTCAGAGGATCTAAACTAATACAACTACCCAAATGGCTTCTCATCTTTCAAAACACCACACTGTTTGATGGCTCTTATGCCAGACTCATGTATGTTTTTACACTCTTTTCACTGCCATTACTCTATTATTGACTTTCTATTACTTTCACTTCATATTTTCTCAAATCCTATATCATAAAATGGGCTCACTACCCTGATATATGCACAGGAGCATTCTCTCTCCACTTCCAATCATTACTGAATTTCTTGAAATAAGAGTCTATATTTCTATCTACATGCCCACTAACAATCATTGTTATCTGGCTTCTATGCTAACGGCTTTTTCAAACTGATTGTTTTTTCCAAACCCAATATTTTATCCATTCCCTTCTGCTCCAAATTTTATGGCGCATTTGACAGGATGAATCATTCTTAGCTTGAATTTCTCTGGTTTCTTGGCCTTTGTGGCATTCTACTTTGCTGCAGTTTTTTTTCCTACCAATTCTATAACTGAAATTTCTGTGATTTGATTTCCTCCTCCGGAACTCTAAATGTCTAAATGAAGCTCCGAATTGAACCTCAAGAAACAAATTATCAAGGGAGGTAATATATGAGGCAAAAAGAGAGTAACCTCACATAGTCTGATAGCTTCAATTATCACACATCATGGCCAACTCCAAAGTCATAATATCTGGCCTTCATTTATCTCTGGATTGCTAGGTCTACAGTATTTCAACTTGCCTCTTGAATATCTGGGGAACCCTTAAGCCCTACAAACTCAGTCTATACCCAACTGAACTTACTTTCTTACTTCCTAAATTCATTCCTCCTCCTGAATTCATCATTTTTTAAATGGTACCATCTTTCCACTCAAAAACCCACTTGACCCTTTTGTTAATTTGTCCCTGTTCTCCTTACTTCTGCCACTCACCACAACAACCTTCTTTTACCTAATCCAATTAGGTTTCAAGAATTACCGTCTTGTAATAACTCAAAGCTTCCTGGGTACTTCTCCATTTCCCTTGCTGCTTTCCAAGTTCAGGTCTTCATTATTACTCAATTTGGTATTATAATAGCTTCTCATTGTTTTTCTTTATTTTTCTCCCATATTCAATCTTATTTACTCTCTAATAACTACAAAGTATTCCTGAAAAACTTTTCTTGCTGGAAATAGACTGCTTCCATGTCCTATAGACCTTAATTCAGTCACCTCAACATGCTAGGATGTTGTCATCTATTTTGACATGTGTCAAAGTAATTTGTCATCATTGATCATTAAAATGGTGATGTTTGACAATAACTTGCATTAAAAATTATAACAGATTTATAACATTTATGGCTCTTCCCAATTCGGCCCCAATCTTGTTCTCTACTTCTCCTTACATACCCTACGTGCTGACAAGAAAACAGCAATAATCACAAAATCCTAAATTCCTTGTTGCTCACATACATCACTTATATAGGCTTTTTCTACTCTCCCTTTGCCTGCGTTGCTCCTTCTGCCTAGAAATCCTCAGTACTTTATTATGCAGACTAGAGGTCTAAAGGTCAGAGATAAATGTCCTCACCTTTACGAACATTTGACTCTCCTCCTCTTCCCTCAAGCCAGAAAGAAATGCTTTACATTCTGGAATTTAATAGTAATTTACCTACTCTTCTGGTGAAGTAGGAAATACCTTCTCATTAATCTTCTAGTTTTAAAAGTAATATTTTAATTATATACCAGGATATAAGCCCCTTGAAAATAAGAACTGTTTATATACCTCACAATGCCTACACAGGATCGGTGTTCAAAAAAATTTATTGAATAAACTTTACAAATACTTTGTTAATTTATTTGTTTGACATAGCCCTCTGCAAACCTAACAATTTCCCTATAAAACACCTCTTCTGAATCATTTATTCATGTATTAAGTTAAAGTAATCATAACACTTTTTTTCCTGGAAATACCACTGTATCATTTCTCTATTTTATGAGAAAAAAAATTATCTGTAAATGGAGTTTTCTACTTCTCAGCTAATTTCATTATTTTTCTCAACCCTCTGATTGATGGAAGTGGTAAATCTTGTTGTAAAAATTATAATACACTTTTCCAAAGTCCAAATGAAGCCTTAATTACAGCATATCCAATATTTCTGTACTTATAAATTGCCTCAAGGAAACTAGTTGATTAATTTAATACAAATTTTCCTTTAAAGATATTATATTCACCTTCTTATAGAATATATTTGCAGAAGCAAAGCCAAGACTCCTGATTTCCAGCTCGATATCAATTTTATTTTTCCACTGTACCCACAGCCTGTGAAGGAAGTAAGGTCAGTTCAGCTTGGGTGGGGCCGGATATGACACAGGGTTGAGAAGCTGCTTATAAAAAGGAAAATAATTTCAAAAATGAATCAAAATCACACAGTATCTGTTATTGCAGAGAGCAGAAGGGACCAAGAGAGCTTACTAATTTATTCTTTTGCCCTGGGGACAAGACCACCCCTAAACTTTTCTGAAATAGTGGTCACCTCTTTTTATCTTTTGAACACAAGGAATCTCTAGTATATGTCATGATTTTGTTTTATTTCATGCATTTTACTTTTCTGTACTGGTTAGCAACAGGAAAAATTTACCAACAAGCTCTTTCTGACAGAAGAGGTATGCTGAACCCATAATTGTCTGAGTTATAACCTTGAGCTTGGAATAAAATTTTTGATAATGTCATACAGTTGACCTTTTTAGCAAATAGAGTGTAAGCATTTTTTTTTTCACCAAAGGTACTTAATTTACTAAGACTGCAATTGGAAATTTTAAAGAAAAATGGGAAACACAAAACTTCCCCTTTGTGAAAAGAAGAAAAAAATTTGGAGGCAGATGCAGAATGGATAGTTTTAGCAAGGGTTTCGTTTGCAATGTCTTCTATGCTGCTGAATGACTTTAGGTTGGGAAAAGTGAAGATCTTTACTCAGAGAGGGAAAATGAAAAGCAACTTCTGATTATTTCCCCAAAGGGAAGGTGGGTAACTAAAGCCTTCTAAGCTTCTCCTCAATTTTAGCAAGATGCATTTGTTTGATAGAAGATATTTGGTATTTAGGATACCATGGGGACTACATTCCTAAAACTGCTGAATTGCAATGGATGTAAAAGAATTTGTCACAACCATTATGGTTTTCTTGCATTGGTGTGCTTTCATAAATCATTGCTTATTGCAAACTCCATGGACACATGCCATAGAAAAGACTGAAGGGTTTTTTCACTTTCACGGTGGAATTTGTTTCTCAAAGGCAGAAACAATCAGCAGAACTTTCAAGGAGAAAGGGCAACTTCTGTGCCAAATCCTCCTAACTCATAAAAATTATATGAAAGAAAGAATCATGTCATTGGGTATTGTGCAAGTACATATGCATGCTTGCTCTCTCTCTACCCCCTTTCTTTTTCTCTCCTCCCTCCCGCCCTCCTTTTCTCCCTCTCTCTCCACACACACACACACACACACACACACTCACTCACTCTCACACTGTACTGTCCTTTGTGAAGCAGATCAATATTTCAGACACAAATGAGGTGAGCTCAAGGGAAGAGAGATTCATATTGAGGTGTGAAAATATTTTAGGAAAAAAAAGACAGATCCATTTAAAAGTACAAATACACCCAATAAATCATGATGAGCTTGGTAGGGTGACTGCTCTTCCTTCTGGCAGCTTTGTAATTACTCTCTCAATACAGCAACAACTTTCTTTGGAAACCGACATTCTGCATGCAAGACAATTACAGCACTGAGTATCACTGCTGGCCAAGGCCCAGACTATGTATGTCACAATCCATTAGTTAAGAGATGTATCTGAGCAGCCTGAAGTTTATTAAACCCAAGTGCCACTTTTCCCGATCACTTTTCTCTAGGTCTCCCAAGGGCAGTCATCGACTATTTCTAATAATTCATCAATCCAGTCTGCAAATAATTCTCTGTAAGCCCAGACTTTATGAATTATTAAGCTGATCTCTGGGATCTCATAATTCCCAATTCAGCTCTCCCCAAACAGTCTTCTAATCTTTTGTTGCAGCTCCCAATTAAAGATCATCAGAAGACACTATAACTAATGAAGAACATTATTTCACTTTATTTCATGAGAAACTGATTTGTCTAGATTTGTGTTTGAGTGCTTAGAGTATGTATTGAAAAGTTCAAGATAGATAGCATATTGATACCAAAAGTACAGAAGACATTCTTGCTTTTTGTATGTGTGTGTGTGTGTGTGTGTGTGTGTGTGTGTGTGTGTGAGATCTCCCTTCTCAGAAATACCTTTCTTTTTTTTTTTTTTTGAGACAGAGTCTTGCTCTGTCGCCCAGGCTGGAGTGCAGTGGCACAATCTCGGCTCACTGCAAGCTCCACCTCCCGGGTTCACACCATTCTCCTGCCTCAGCCTCCCTAGTAGCTGGGACTACAGGTGCCTGCCACCATGCCTGGCTAATTTTTTGTATTTTTAGTAGAGACGGGATTTCACCATGTTAGCCAGGATGGTCTTGATCTCCTGACCTCGTGATCCGCCCACCTTGGCCTCCCAAGAAATACCTTTCTTGTTTACACCTACCCATTTTATATTTAAGCATGTGATGACTTGCGTTATCCACTAATTAGTTCACATGTTAAAACATCATTTTCCCAATTAGTTTTTAAGGGAAGAGGCCAAGTCTTGAATGGTCTCATCTTGCCAGCAATAGCGTGCTGCAGCTGGCTTGTACAGCTTGTGAGAGCCAAATTTAAAATTTTCAGGAAATTTTAAAAGCCATTATTAAAAATCAAAATACATAGACATACAATTAGACAAATTATGCTAAAAGCGAAAGAATAAATGGTCAAAACTCATTATCTTTTATTTTTCTATATTTACTACTGTCTGTGATCTGGAGGTTATTTAAACCCATTATATTTTATGTTGCAAATACCATATAATGATGTGCCGCTGTGCATCTTTTCACAACTTCATCTTCACTGATTTCACATTCAATGATTTCATGATAATACATGGAAAGTAGCCATGGTGGGAATATTCATACCACAGAAATCAGCAAATATAAGCATACTTCTTTTTACTGTACTCCACAAAGATTGCATTTTTTACAAATTGAAGGTTTGTGGCAATCCTGAGTCAAGCAAGTCTATCAGCGCCATTTCTCCAACAACATGCGCTCACTTCATGTCTCTATGTCACATTTGGGTAATTCTCACAATATTTTAAACTTTTTCATTATTGTCATATGTGTTATGGTGATCTGTGATCAGTGACAGCGATCTTTGATGTGACTGTTGTAATTGTTTTTGGGTGCCACTACCATGCTCATTATTAGACTGCGAACTTCATCAATAAATGTTGAGTGTGTTCTCACTGCTCCCCTGACTAGCTGTTCCCACACCTCTCCTTCTCCTCAAGCCTCTTTATTCCTTGAGATACTACAATATTTATTTATCTATTTAACTTTTATTTTCAGTTTGGGGTACATGTGCATGTTTGTTATAGAGGTAAATTGTGTGTCATGGGAGCTTGGTGTCCAGATTATTTCAGCTCCCAGACAATAAGCATACCTGGATTGCACTCCAGCCTGGGCATCAAAGTGAGACTCTGCCCAAAAAAAAAAAAATAAAATAAAATAAGCATACCTGGGTGGTGAAATAATACCTGAAAGGTAGTTTTTTGAGCCTCATCTTCCTCCCACCGTCCATCTCCAAGCAGGCCCCAATATCTGTTGTTCACCTTTTTGTCTCCATAAGTACTCAATGTTTAGCCCTCATTAGAAGTCAGAACAAGCAGTATTTGGTTTTTGTTCCTATGTTAGTTCACTTAGAATAATGACCGTTAGCACCATTGATGTTGCTGCAAAGGACGTGATCTCATTTTTTTATGTCTGTGTAGTGTTCCACAGTGTATTATGTACCATATTTTCTTTATCCAGTCTACAGTTAATGGGCATTTAAGTTGATTCCATGTCTTTGCTGTTGTGAATAATGCTGCAATGAATATATGCATGCAAGTGTCTTTATGGTAGAATTATTTCTATTCCTTTGATTATATACCCAATAATGGGGTTACTGGGTTGAATCAAATTTTTGCTTGGAGTTCTTTGAGAAGTCACTAAACCGCTTTCCACAATGGCTGAATTGATTTACCATCCCACCAGCAGCGTTTAAGTGTTCCCTATTCTCTTCAACCTCTCCAGCATCTGTCATTTTTGATGTTTTAATAAAATAGCTATTCTGACTAGTGTAAGATGGTATTTTACTGTGTTTTTGATTTGCATTTCTCTAATGATTAGTGATTTTGAGCATTTTTTCATATGCTTTTTGGCTGCATGTATGTCTTCTTTTGAAAAGTGTCTGTTCATGTCCTTTGCCCACTTTTAATGGTTTTTTGTTTGTTTGTTTTTTGTTTTTTTGTAAATTTGTTTAGGTTCCTTATAGATCCTGAATATTGGATCTTTATCAGATGTTTAGTTTACAAATATTTTCTCCCATTCTGTAGGTTGTCTGTTTACTCTGCTGAAAGTTTATTTTGCTGGAGACACAAAAATATTTAAATTAGATAATTAATAACCCTACACTGGCCTCTAAGTGCTCAAGGGAAAGGAGGAGTCAAATGTTTCTAACTTTAAATCAAAAGCTAGAAATGATTACACTTAGTGAGGAAGGCATTTGAGCCTTCCTCAGCTGAGGTAGGCTGAAAGCTAGGCCTCTTGCTCCAAACAAGCAAGTTAACCAAGATGTGAATGCAAAGAAAAAGCTCTTGAAGGTAGTTAAAAGTGCTATTCAGTGAACATGTGAATGATAAGAAAGTCAAACAACCTTAATGCTGATGTGGAAAAAGTTTTAAGGTCTAGATAAAATATCAAACCGGCTAAAACATTCCCTTAAGTTAAAGCCTAACCCAGAACACGGCCCTAATTCTCTAATTCTATGAACTCTGAGAGCGGTGAGGAAGCTGCAGGAGAAATATTTGAAGTTAGCAGAGGTTGACTCACAAGGTTTTAGGAAAGAAGTTGTCTCCATGACAAAAAAAAAAAATGCAAGGTGAAACAGTAAGTAGTACACCAAGTTATAGAGATGATCCAACTAAAATAATTGATGAAGGTGGCTACCCTAAACGACAGGATTTCAATGTAGATGAAATAGCATTAGATTGGAAGAAGATACCGTTTAGGATTTTCATAGCTAAAGAAAAGTCAATCCCTGCTTCAAAGATGCAAAGGATAGGCTGAGTCTCTTACTAGGGGCAATGTAACTGTGACCTTAAGTTGAAGTCAATGTTCATTTACCATTCTGAAAAATCCTAGTCCCTTTAGAGTTATGCTAAATCTACCCTGTCTGCGCTCTATACATAGAAAAACAAAACCTAGATAACATCACGTACGTTCACAGCATGTTTTTTTTTTAATGAAAAAAGAATTATATATTTGGTTAAACCTTGAAGAGGAAGATATCCACTTGTCTAGCCCACAAGTATGTTCTTTTGTTTTTGTTTGTTTGTTTATTTGTTTTTAAATTTTTTCTGGGTACATAGTAGGTATATATACTTATGGGGTACATGAGATGTTTTGATACAGTACGGCATGGGTTACTGAATATCTTAAGCCTACTGTTGGAACCTACATCTCAGAAAAAAAAGTATTTCAAAATATTATTGCTCACTGACAATGCACCTAGTAATGTAAGAACTCTGATGGAGATGTACAGGGAGGTTACAGTTGTTTTTATGCCTGCTAACATGACACTCATTTTGCAGCCCATCAATAAAGAAGTAATTTTGACTTGCAATAATATTATTTAAGAAATATGTTTTGTAAGGCTATCACCGCTATAGATAGTGATTCCTCCAATAGACCTGGGAAAAGAAAACTAAAAATCTTCTAGAAATGATTCAATATTCTAGTTATCTTTAAGAACATTTGTGATTCATGGGAAGAGAACAAATATCAACATTAATAAGAGTTCGGATGAAGTTGATTCCAACCCTCATAGATGATTTGGAGGGGTTCAAGACTTCAGCGGAGGAATAAACTACAGATGTTGTGGAAACAGCAAAATAAATAGAATTAGAAGTTGAGCCTGAAGATGTTACTGAATTGCTGCAATCTCATGATGAAACTTTAATAAATGAGGTGTTGCTTCTAATGGATGAGCAAAGAGAATGGTTTCTTGAGATGGAAACTACTCCTGTTGAAGATAATCGCAGAGACAAAGAAGAACATTATATAATGATAAAAAGATAAATCACAAAGAAAATCTAACAGTTATATATATATATATATATATATATATATATATATATATACCAAAATCAACCTCAGATATCCATGTATGTGAAGCAAAAATTGATGAAATTGAAGGGAGAAGTAGATAGTAACACAGCAATTGTAAGATATTTCAGTACTTCACTTTCAATAATGGATAAAACAATCAGACAGTTGATCCATAAAGAAACAGAAAAATTCAGCAACACTGTAGACAAATTGGACCCAACAAAAATGCAGAACACTCCAAGCAACAACAGCAGAATACACATTCTTCTTAAAAGCATAAATAACATTATCTAGGATAGATCATTTAGGCCACAAAACAAGTCTTAACAAATTTAAGAAAGTTAAAATCATCCCAAGTATCTTTTCTGGCCACAATGGAATGAAATAATAAATCATTAGCAGAAGGAAAACCAGAAATTCTCTAAGTATGTGGAAATTAAACAACATACTCTTGAACAACTAATGGGTGAAAGATAAAGTCAGAAGGGAAATTAGAAAATATCTTAAGACAAATGAAAACACAAATATAGCATGCCAAAAATTATAGGGTGCAGCAAAAGCAGTACTGAGAGAAGTTTAGAGCAGTAAAAGACGACCTTAAAAAAGAAGAAAGATCACAAATTGACAACTTAATTTTATACCACCAGAAAGGAGAAAAATATGAGCAAAATAAACCAAAGTTAGTAGAAGAAGGAAGTAATAAATATTAGAGCAGAAATAAATAAAATGAAGAATAGAAGAATAATAGAAAAGTTTTTATGTTGAACTAAGAGTTATGAAGAGAACACAGATACAACATACCAGAATCTCTGGGACACATTCAAAGCAGTGTGTAGAGGGAAATTTATAGCACTAAATGCCCACAAAAGAAAGCAGGAAAGATCTAAAATTGACACCCTAACATCACAATTAAAGGAACTAGAAAAGCAAGAGCAAACACATTCAAAAGCTAGCAGAAGGCAAGAAATAACTAAGATCAGAGCAGAACTGAAGGAAATAGAGACCAAAAAAACCCTTCAAAAAATTAATGAATCCAGGAGCAGGTTTTTTGAAAAGATCAACAAAATTGATAGACTGCTAGCAAGACTAATAAAGAGGAAAAGAGAGAAGAATCAAATAGACGCAATAAAAAATGATAAAGGGGATATCACCACTGATCCCACAGAAATACAAACTACCATCAGAGAATACTACAAACACCTCTACGCAAATAAACTAGAAAATCTAGAAGAAATGGATAAATTCCTCGACATATACCTCCTCCCAAGACTAAACCAGGAAGAAGTTGAATCTCTGAATAGACCAATAACAGGCTCTGAAATTGAGGCAATAATCAATAACTTACCAGCCAAAAAAAGTCCAGGACCAGATGGATTCACAGCCAAATTCTACCAGAGGTACAAAGAGGAGCTGGTACCATTCCTTCTGAAACTATTCCAATCAATAGAAAAAGAGGGAATCCTCCCTAACTCATTTTATGAGGCCAGCATCATCCTGATACCAAAGCCTGGCAGAGACACAACCAAAAAAGAGAATTTTTAGACCAATATCCTTGATGAACATTGATACAAAAATCCTCAATAAAATACTGGCAAACTGAATCCAGCAGCACATCAAAAACCTTATCCACTATGATCAAATGGGCTTCATCCCTGGGATGCAAGGCTGGTTCAACATACACAAATCAATAAATGTAATCCAGCATATAAACAGAACCAAAGACAAAAACCACATGATTATCTCAATAGATGCAGAAAAGGCCTCTGACAAAATTCAACAACGTTTCATGCTAAATCTCTCAATAAATTAGGTATTGATGGGACGTATCTCAAAATGATAAGAACTATCTATGACAAACCCACAGCCAATATCATACTGAATAGGCAAAAACTGGAAGCATTCCTTTTGAAAACTGGCACAAGACAGGGATGCCCTCTCTCACCACTCCTATTCAACATTGTGTTGGAAGTTCTGGCCAGGGCAATCAGGCAGGAGAAGGAAATAAGGGGTATTCAATTAGGAAAGAGGAAGTCAAATTGTCCCTGTTTGCAGATGACATGATTGTATATCCAGAAAATCCCATTGTCTCAGCCCAAAATCTCCTCGAGCTGATAAGCAACTTCAGCAAAGTCTCAGGATACAAAATCAATGTACAAAAATCACAAGCATTCTTATACACCAATAGCAGACAAACAGAGAGCCAAATCATGAGTGAACTCCCATTCACAGTTGCTTCAAAGAGAATAAAATACCTAGGAATCCACCTTACAAGGGATGTGAAGGACCTCTTCAAGGAGAACTACAAACCACTGCTCAAGGAAATAAAAGAGGATACAAATAATTGGAAGAACATTCCATGCTCATGGGTAGGAAGAATCAATATCGTGTAAATGGTCATACTGCCCAAGGTAATTTATAGATTCAATGCTATCCCCATCAAGCTACCAATGACTTTCTTCACAGAATTGGAGAAAACTACTTTAAAGTTCATATGGAACCAAAAAAGAGCCCACATCACCAAATCAATCCTAAGCCAAAAGAACAAAGCTGGAGGCATCACACTACCTGACTTCAAACTATTCTACAAGGCTACAGTAACCAAAACAGCATGGTACTGGTACCAAAACAGAGATATAGACCAATGGAACAGAACAAAGCCCTCAGAAATAATGCCACATATCTACAACTATATGATCTTTGACAAACCTGAGAAAAACAAGCAATGGGGAAAGGATTCCCTATTTAATAAATGGTGCTGGGAAAACTGGCTAGCCATATGGAGAAAGCTGAAACTGGATCCCTTCCTTACACCTTATACAAAAATTAATTCAAGATGGATTAAAGACTTAAATGTTAGACCTAAAACCATAAAAGACCTAGAAGAAAACCTAGGCAATATCACTGGGGACATAGGCATGGGCAAGGACTTCATGTCTAAAACACAAAAAGCTATTGCAACAAAAGCCAAAATTGACAAATGGGATCTAATTAAACTAAAGAGCTTCTGCACAGCAAAAGAAACTACCATCAGAGTGAACAGGCAACCTACAAAATGGGAGAAAATTTTTGCAATCTACTCATCTGACAAAGGGCTAATATCCAGAATCTACAATGAACTCAAACAAATTTACAAGAAACAAACAAACAACCCCATCAACAAGTGGGCAAAGGACATGAACAGACACTTCTCAAAAGAAGACATTTATGCAGCCAAAAGACACATGAAAAAATGCTCATCATCACTGGCCATCAGAGAAATGCAAATCAAAACCACAAGGAGATACCATCTCACACCAGTTAGAATGGTGATCATTAAAAAGTCAGGAAACAACAGGTGCTGGAGATGATGTGGAGAAATAGGAACACTTTTACACTGTTGGTGGGACTGTAAACTAGTTCAACCATTGTGGAAATCAGTGTGGCGATTCCTCAGGGATCTAGAACTAGAAATACCATTTGACCCAGCCATCCCATTACTGGGTATATACCCAAAGGATTATAAATCATGCTGCTATAAAGTCACATGCACACGTATGTTTATAGCGGCACTATTCACAATAGCAAAGACTTGGAACCAACCTAAATGTCTAACAATGATAGACTTGAGAAAATGTGGCACATATACACCATAGAATACTATGCAGCCATAAAAAATGATGAGTTCATGTCCTCTGTAGGGACATGGATGAAACTGGAAACCATCATTCTCAGCAAACTATCGCAAGGACAAAAAAACCAAACACCGCATGTTCTCACTCATAGGTGGGAAATGAACAAGGAGAACACATGGACACAGGAAGGGGAACATCACACACCAGGGACTGTTGTGGGGTGGGGGGAGGGGGGAGGGATAGCATTATGAGATATACCTAATGCTAAAAGACGAGTTGATGGGTGCAGCACACCAACATGGCACATGTATACATATGTAACAAACCTGCACGTTGTGCACATGTACCCTAAAACTTTAATAATAATAAAATTTAAAAAAAAGAGTTATGAAGAGTTAATGAAACTAAGAGTTAGTTTTTCGAGAGATCAACAAAATTGACAGACCCTTTAACTAAAAAAAGAGAGAACATTCAAGTAACAAAAATAAAAAATGACAGAGGAAACATCACAATTAGTACCAAAGAAATAAAAAGATTATGAGACTCCTATGAATAATTATATGCCAACAAATTGAATAACCTAGAAGATATAGAGAAATTTCCAGAAACATACAAATTACCAAGGCTGAAATGTAAAGAAATAAAAAATCTGAACAGATCTATAATGAGTAAGAAGATTGAATCAGTAATCAAAAATTTCCCAACAAAGAAAAACCCAGCACCAGATGGCTTCACTGGAGAATTCTACCGAACTTTTTTTCTTTTTTTTTTTTTAACACAGAATAGATTAACATCAATTCTTCACAATTTTTTCCAAAAATTGAAGTGAAGGGAACACTTCCAAACTTATTTTATGAGGTCAGCATTACTTCAATATCAAAACTAGACAAAGATACTCAAACAAAACTATAGACCAATATACTTGAGGAATATTAATAAAAAAAACTTCAACAAAATAGTAGCAAAACAATTCAACAGCATGTTAAAAAGATTATACACCATGACTAAGTGGGCTATATCTCTGAGATGTAGTGTAACTTAACATACAAAAATCAAACAATGTAATACATAAAATTAAGAACATGGAGGATAAAAATTACATGATCATCTCAGTTGATACAGAAAAAAGAATTTGAAAAAAATTCAACATACTTTTACGATAAAACACATTAAAAAACTAGGAATACAAGAAAAGTAACTCAACATGATGAAAGGAATATATGAAAATATTATAGATAACATCGTATTCCACAGTGAAAAACTGAAAGCTTTTCCTCTAAGATCAGGAACAAAGCAAGGATGACCACTCTCACCATTTCTTCAACATAGTACTTAAAAGTCCTAGCCAGGCCAGTTACACAAGAAAAAGAAATAAAAGGAAATTACAAAGCAAGTAATAAAACTATTTCTGTTTGCAGAAGACATGATTGTTTTTATATTCCAATGGTGAACAATCTATAAAAGAAAGTAAGAAAATAATCCCATTAACAATAGCATCAAAACTGGAATATTTAGGAATAAACTTAACCAAGTAGGTCAAAGACTGATTCCCTGAAAACTATAAGACATTGCTGAAATAAATTGAGGAAGATAGAAATAAATGAAAATATTATTCTGTGTTCATGGACTAGAAGACCTAATATTGTTAAAATGTTCAAACTGCCCAAAGCGATCTACAGATTCAGCACAATCCATATGAAAATCTCTGGTATTTTTTGCTGAAATAGAATACATTCTAAAATCACACAGAATTTCAAGTGAGGTTCTGAATAACTCCTTGAATAGCAAAAAACATCCTAAGAAAGAATAACAAAGGTGGAGGTCTCCCAGTTGCTGTCAAAACATATTATAAAGCTGCAATAATCAAAACAGTATGGTACTTGCATAAATACAGACATATAGTTGCTTTTTAGTATACATCCAGAAGAACTGAAAGCAGAATATTGAAAATATATTTGCACACCTTTGTTTATTGTAGCATTAATCAAAACAGCCAAGAGATGGAAGCAACCTAAATGTTCATCAATAAATGAATAAAGAAAATGTGATATATATACACATACAAAGGAATATTATTCAGCCTTATAAAAGGAGAAATTTCTATCCTATGCTACGACATGAATGAAACTTGAAGACTTTATGCTAAGTGAAATAAGCTCATCACAAAAAGAGAAATACTGCATGACTACACCTATATCAGGTATCTACAGTGGTCAAACTCAGAGTAACAGAAAGTAGAATGTGGTCACCAGAAGATGGTGGGGAAGGGGAATGTGAGGAATTGTTTAATGTGTATAGAGTTCCAGTTTTGCGAGGTGAAAAATTTCCAATGATCTGTTACCCAACAACGTGCATACAGTTAACACTATTGTATCATACACTTAAGGATGGTTAAGATGGTAAATTTCATGTTATGAGTTTTTAACACAATAAAAAGCTTATAGGAGGAGAATATTAGCAAGGTAATTATGAGCATTGGATTCTGACAAACCTAGCTTATGTTGGATGAGGAGTTGCTTTTTATCAATGAGCAAAGAAAGTAGTTTCTTGAGATGAAATCTATTCCTGCTGAAGATACTGTGAATATTATTGAAATGTCAACAAATAATTTAGAATATTACAAAAATTTAGTTGATAAAGGAGTGGTAGATTTTAAGAGGACTGACTCCAATTTTGACACAAATTCTACTGTTGGTAAAGAGATCACTTGCTATAGAGAAATCTTTTATGAAAGGAAGAGTCAATTGATGGTGCAAACTTCATTGCTATCATATTTTAAGAAATTACTAGTCACTGCAACCTTCAGCAACCACTGCCCTGGTCAATCAGCAGGCATCATAATTGAGGCAATATCCTCCACCAGCCAATTATGACTCACTGAAGACTCAAATGATCATTAGCAGTATTTTATCAGTACTTTTTAATTCAGATATGTACTTTTTTAGACATAATACTATTGTTGCACACTTAATAGAATATAGTATAGTATAAACATAGCTTTTATATGCACTAGGAAACCAAAACCTTTTTGTGATTTGCTTTATTGTGATATTCACTTTGTTACAGTTGTCTGGAACTGAACCTGCAATATCTCTAAGACATGCCTGTACTAGAAATCAGGGTTCTCTGCCTAACCCAGAGAGCTGGTTGATAAACACTTACTAGCACATTACTGATTACTGTCTAAGTCACCTAAGCAATATAAGCTTCAGAATTATGCTCCAAAAAGTAGAAAAGGAAACCATGATACTAGACAAATCAGTCTTCTTCTCACTAATCCCCTCTGGCACAGCTCTTATTTGTTATGGCCATATTCTATACTGGGCTACTTTCCTAGGGTCACCCCTAATCATAGATCCTTGCACCAAGTGTGGGCCCCAAATATTGTAGATGGCATTTGGCTTGTATGACCAATTTTCTCCCACTGAATACTAGAACCAGGAAAGTAAGTAAATGAGGCACCAGCTAATGGGCCATGAGATCGACCTGAAGACAAGGATATTGTAGTCTGAGTCCCCACACTAGTCTTGGGAAAGATGTTTTTTTATTTTTATTTTTATTTTTTTTTTTAGTCTGCCACTCACCATGATAAGCTACAACAGGGGCCTTGAAGAATTCCTCAGCTGTAGTTTCTGAATTCTTTGGACTTCATTTTGTGCAAAGGATGAGGCCGTAATCAAAGGTGCAATGATTAGAAATGACTAAATCATGAGCTTCTTCTATGAGAGCGTCAAGTAAGTTCATATCTTAACAATAATTGCTAACATTTATTGAACACTTGCTACATGCTGAGCACTACACTAAGTACTTTATACATGATTTCATTTGACTCTAACAACTTTATAAAGAAGGTACAATTATTATTCCATTTTGAAGAGGGAAAAACAGAAACTAAGCTTAAAGTAACATGCTTGTTCACATAGCTAGCAAGTGATAGAACTGGGCAAATCTGTTTCTAGAACCCCTACTCTTAGCCAGGCACAAAACTAAAACCCATGTCAGCAAAATATTTAGCCCCTAAATAGAAACAGATGATCAAAAGCTTAGACGCTTTAGCAGCATTAGTGAGAACAAGCAAAACACTGCCATTAGTGGGATTTTTAGTTTTCTGACATCCAAGCTGCCACCAGGTTTCCAATGATTAGGGAACTGATAAGAGACTCAACTAGATTTGTTTTTAAATCACACGAGTGCTCCTTTAGTTGATCTGAAGATTCATTATTTGAGATGGCATCCAGGACAAAGAAAGAGATCTTCCCAGTCTACCTTGGTGATCAAGTGTTGCTATATCATAAGTTTGATTCTAGGCGGGAAATGAGACATTGATCAACTGAGTTAGGGGGGACCATTTAGGAAAGTGAAATGAAGGACCCTCTGAAAATGAGGAACACTTGATTAAAAAAAAGAAGAGCATAATTAGCCTGGAGCAGGGTAGAGTTAGGGAACATATCAGAAATGCTCGTAAATACTTGATGGACCATCATTTTAAAAAAAAGATATCTTACTTTTGACCTAAAGAGCAGAATTAAATTCAACTTGGAAAAGTTGGAGAAAGGAAAATTTTTTTGAAAGAAAATATGTAATGATTAGAGCTGTTAAAAAACAAAGTGACCTGCCTGATACAGTAGTGAGTTTCCTATATCATTAAAGGTATTCAAACAGGGCTGAGAAATCCTGGTATAAGAGATTCAGGTGATCTTTGAGGTCATTTCTAACTTTGATATTACCCTATCGATTTAGAAAAACAAAGAATTGGGATCTTTTCTTAATTACTCTTAGCTCCATTATCTGTAATCACATAAAATCTAAGTTTTCTGAAAATAAGTTCTTCCTAGGCAGCCTCCCTTCAAAGGCCAACGCTGAATATGTGGCATAGAGAGTGGGTAGAGAAGAGATGAACTAGAGTGCAAAAAGCACTCATCAGCTAAGCTCAAAAAAGGCAACCTCTGACCTTGGAGTAAGAGAGAGCTGTTTTCAGCAGAAAATATAAAATGTTATGTAGTTGTAGGAAATGTTATAGGAAAGAAGGGCCAATTAGAAAGAAAAAGAGAGAATATTCAGAGAAGGATACATGTTATCTTTTCAGAAACACTTCCCAAATCAATGGAATATCAGCTCCAAAAAATGTAAGAATGTGATGTAGTAAAAATAGGAAAGTTAGCAAAAGGTAGGAATACAATGTAATTTTATTTCAATATATACTTTAAAAATCTTGGACAAATACTATGTATAATTGCTATCAATAGGCTAGTTTGTCTGATGTTATGTATTTGGCAACCTGTTCATCATCACTTTTAGCATCTCATTGCTCTGGTTAAGTGTACTATTCCAGGTGAAAGTGTAAACCATAATTGTTTTAAGCCAGAAATGCAGTAACAACTAATTTGACAACGTAAGTAGAATTTTTCCGCGGAGGCTGGTGTTTATCTGTTGAAAACAAAACATTTTGGTTATCTGATTTGTAGCTTCCCTCATGCATGAGGTGGATTAGATAGTAATTAAGAGGTCAGGCTCTGTGGTTAGACTGCCTTCATTTGAATGTCAATTTAGGCTGACCTTGAGGAAGTCACTTAACTTCTCTGTGTCTCATTTATATGTACAATGGGTATGAAAATTGTAGGCTTGTTGTGAGAAACAAATTAAGTAATATATACATAAAGTAAAGCATTTAAGATAGTGCCTGGCCATAATAGACACTCAATAATTTATAATAATAATTGCTATTATTATCTTCATCAGCTTTAAGTGAGCGATTTCATTCAACTTATCAGACCGAATTGAATTACTTCTTTAAGTATTATATAGACAGAACCTAAGAATAACTAAATCCTCTTTATTAGGCATAGATTGATTTATATATAAACAACAATGGCAATTTACTGACATTAATTCATTTTAAACATTGGTAATACTAGGTTAAAGAATGGAAAGAGTGGTTCTCCAAATTTTATTGAAAATTCTCATGAAAAATTCACATCAGAAATAATTGCTCCTGTTCAATGCACATCATTTTGATGTGAAGTGTAATTGTCCTTCCCAGTACCTGTATGTTAGCTATTTGAAGAACAGTAGAGTGAAGTTAAAAATAATGTCACATTTTATCGTCTTGAGTCCTCTGCAGCTGTAACAGCTGACTAGCAAGGCTGAGATTTAATGACAAATGATGATGAATTATTTGGAATGATTATAAAAGTTAAAAGAAAGTGTTCTTAGAGAATAAAGGCATGTGTATGTGTATAGACTTACATATTCCCATTGCTTGACAGTTTTGGATTCTAGAACAGGTTTGTGCACTGGAATTCTCTGCTGACATTTTCAAGAGTCTCAAGCTGTGCTGTCCAATATAGTCGTAGCCCCTAGCCCTATGTGGCTGTTTACTTTGAATTGATTAAATTGTAATAACATTAAATTTCCATTCCTCAGTTGTTTCAAGTGCTCAGAAGCCTCATGTGGACGGTGGCTACTGTATTGGACAGTGCAGACATAGAACATTTTTCCCCATGACAGGGTTCAAATGGACAGTGCTGGTTGAGGTAGGAATGGGAGAGGGTATGAGGGAAGAAAATGTCTCTCAGAATGGGGAAAAATAACGTGGCTGACAGAATGGTTGTTGTTTAAACACTGGAGATGGAGGAATAATTATTAACAAGTAAAGTATCATTTTCATTCTGTGGACAAGGAGACTACTGTACAAAAGGTAATAAGTTGCCATGATAATGTGCTTCTTCCCATCTGCAATGAGTCAGCCTGAAAGGTCCTGGTGTGAGTGAGGCAAACCACCTGGGATTGTTGTGATTAGAGAGAAATTCACTTCAGCAGGAAGCTGGGCATCCAAAATGCCAAGATTAAAGACAACGATAAACAAAAAAAAGAAAAAGAAGCTCCTACAGTTTCGGCCAACAGCCCTAATCATAAATTCTTTTAAAATGCAATTCACCGAAAGAGATCTCTGATAACAATAAGCTGCAAGCACTCATCTTGCTACCACCCTTCTGTCAAGCATGGATGAATATTTATATCAGGTTATTTTAATCATGTTTTTCTTGATGTGACATAATTCTACATAATTTATTTTCCCTTCTCGGGTGTTAAGAAAAGGTCTCTTTTTAATTTTTTTCCGCTCTGTCAAGTCAAAAACTTTTTCTATTTCTCTTCTGGCCCTGAGACAAAACAGGACACAGGATGACACAGAGAGGTGACTGCACTGGCGTGTGTTACCATTGAAAATCAATGCTCTTGTCCTTGGCACATTCTATGGAATGTAATGGTCTGGAACACTAAGCTCTGCAACAAGAAATGAGGAACCTGAGGGAATCTATGGAGTTGGAATGTCAGGTTACAGCAAGTCTGTGTGGGTCTAACACACTTGAGTACGAGAGAGACTTCCAGGGCAGATGCACTGTCTGAGCTGGGCTCATGGTGGTGCTTCTAGCAGTGAATTTTGAATTCAGTATAAATTCACCAATCTACTCTCATGGTGGGCGGAAGGTGGGAGAAATGATGGGAAGGGTAGGCTGCAGGGCAAAAAGAGACCAAGCTGAAAAGAGACAGGAATCAAGATGGATAGAGACATAACATAATCAGATGCCCAAAGAGACAGGGACAGACATACAGACAAACTGAGAAAGGCATCAACAGAGAGAAAACAAAACTATTCCTGATTTCTTGTTTATTTCCTTTTTCTGAACCCTCAGTAAATCTCTGTCCAATAGAGATTTTTCAGTGTATTCAACATTTATGTTTACTCTAAGTAAGAACTAGGAAATTCTGTATAATGAACAAAATTCAAAACCAAAAATAGGATGATATTTTTAAGAAAGACATCTATTTAGCTTTAAGAGGAATTGATACAATTGGAAAGATATTAAAAAACACCAGCACAGAAATCACTAGTCTATCGCAAATGCAGTTTTTCTCCCATTCCAGAAACACAAGCTCTCCATTTTAGTTATGCTCTAACAAGCTTTTTGCAAAAAACTAATGCTCTTCAGAAGCGAAACAAGAGCAATTTCAGGACCTGGCACTCTCCTCCTTTAACTGTCATTATGAAATGACTAAAAATCAAATGAAGCAAAGCAACATTTGCCGGTCTTTTCTAAGCATGGATTAATTATTGCCAAAGGAATGTGCTTGCTTTTCCTTTTGTCAGTTGTTAGTTTTGACCCTTCTTGTGTGTGTATTTTGTGTGTGTATGTGTGTGTGTGTGTGTTTTTTTAACTTTTTACTGAAGGTATAAATAGAGAATTCGGGAGCATTATGCAAAAGTTGAGCTCAGTCAGGATTATAGGAATTTCTACTGTTTACCCAGAGGCATTGAAATGTTTGGATAAAATGAGGTATCGAAGATATGGGTGTGGGTGAAGTGTTGGAGGTGTTCCAGTTTGGATCGAAGTACCATCTATTGCATACTTTTAGGGCTGGGATGCTATTAGAGAAGTCTAGGATATCTGGAAGTGGTTTTCAGGAACCACACCTTTTCACCCTAAAGAATATCTTTTCTTCTGTACTTATATGAAGTTTATTACATTCCCACTATTAACTACATATTGTAATCTTCTGATTCCACTGAAAATAATGCATCACACTGTGTAAGAACAAAGATGCAAATAAAACCTATCTAAAATGTCCAACTTCACAGTGCTGCGATATTTGCATTTTATAGAAAACATTTTAAAATCATTTTAGTAAGTGGAATCCATTTTCCTCCATGAACTGTTAAAACTGAATTCTTAATAGCTTCCCTAGGGTTTTGTGTCTTGCTATGAAGCCTTCAGTGATTTCATCATTGTTAAGGCACAGTAAACAATCACAGTTTATGCTCATAAGCATAAAACTTTCAATCTATTACTCATCCTAGTTTTTATATTTCAAAGATACAAAACTTATTTTTTATGCAATCTGAGTGTGAGACAATGCTAAATCGGTTTATAAGCCTGGCAAATATTGGTATAAACATTTCTAAAATGCTTTAATGTATAATATCAGCATTTTGAAGTCTTACAGAGATAATTATGCTTCTAAATTTCTGTTTTTTTTTAAATGACACTGTTCTTTTCCTTTGTTGGAGTTAGTATTCATTTTTATTTCTGATTCTTATTCTTTGTTTATAAAAAGACCATGTCAAGTTCACCCTCTTATAAGTGACTCCTCAAAATTTTGAATTTTCAGCTTTGGTTCCTAAAATCTATAAAAATATATTATAGGTTTATTTTTAAGCCTAGTACAAACATAAAGTTATCAAATAAATAACTATAATACACAAATCCATTTTTTTTACAACGGTAAAATGTATTTGTACTGTATACAAAAAAAGGAAACTGTGGATATATACAGAAAATAAAATTAATCTATTATTTTAGTCTCTTAAATATACATCTCCTATCTAGTGTGGAATCTCCCTCTGCTTATTTTTTCTATAGTTATGTAAATATGTAAAAATCAATATGTTTTTAAAAATTGTAGAATACTACCATATGTAAGGTTTAATAACTGCTTTTGATTTACATCGCTATTATATCTTGAGCATTTTCTTGCTTTTTTCCTGCTCTTCCTAAGCATGACTCTGTATTATATTTTGCTGTCTGTGCCACAGCTTATCCAACTATACTGATACTGTGAGCAATTTGGTTGTTTACAACCTTTTTAAAAAATTAATCGAAGATCACCCTTTCTGAAATATTCTATTAAACTTCTGATTTTTTTATTACACTACATTTCTCACAGAGAATTAGAAGTTTAAAGAGTATCACACTCAACTGTAATTACTCATTTAACTGAAATTATACTAAGCCTATAAAATAATATGGGAAGAAATTTATATCCTAAAGTTCTATTCATTTTCCTTTTTGTCATGTCTCAAACAGTTCTTAATATAGATAGTTTATATTTTTATTTTTCTTAATTGAATTTCTTTCTCTCTTATAATCTTTAATAGGATTATAGGAAATCTATTAATTTTTGTATATTCATTTTTATACCTGGTGCTTATTGACTTTCCTTCTTGGGGCTTTTGCTATTTAGTACCTAAAGGTACATTGTTATATGCTTACTGCAGAAGTAGTATACAAAATTAAATTTTAATTTTGCTGAGTCCTATAGTTTTCTTTTTAAAAATATTTTTATTTCTAACTATATCCTATTATATTTGTCTTGTTTCAATTCTCCTGTTACATATACATGTCAACATCAAATGGCTCTTACTTTCAATAGATGCAAATAATAGAATACTTGCCTTGCTCTTAATGGCTATACTTCGAGTGTTTCTCTATTAAATACGAAAGAAGCTAAATAGACTGATCTTTTCAGATGCTTAGTATTACTATTATTATTATTATTATTTTTTGAGATGGAGTCTTGCTCTGTCGCCCAGGCTGGAGTGCAGTGGCACGATCTCAGCTCACTGCAAGCTCCGCCTCCCAGGTTCACGCCATTCTCCTGCCTCAGCTTCCCTAGTAGCTGGGACTACAGGTGCCCGGCACCATGCCCAGCTAATTTTTTGTATTTTTTAGTAGAGACGGGGTTTCACCCTGTTAGCCAGGACGGTCTCGATCTCCTGACCTTGTGATCCGCCCGCCTCGGCCTCCAAAAGTGTTGGGATTACAGGCATAAGCCACCGCGCCCAGCTTCAGACGCTTACTTTTTATCAGGTTAAAAGAACATCTTTCTTTTGCTAACACACTAAAACATTTTTTAGCATTTTACATGTAAAATTTTAATCAAATTACATTTATGGTTTTCTATCAAGATGTCGTATTTTTTCATTTGATGTGTTGATATTACCGAATTAAACATTTGTCCTCATATTTGTTTTTAAAACATTTTTTCTGAATTAAATCTTACTTGTTATATTGTTATGGTGTATTTTTCATACATTGTTGAAGCTATTTAATAACATCTGATTTTTGTCTATTATATATGTATGTGTATTATGTGTGGGTACATATGTGATTTTAGCATGTAATATTTTTATAGTTATGTTGCTCAAACTTTAGTTTATGAGATTTAATACCTTTTAAGTAAGGAAGTTTCATTTGTTGTTGTTGATTTTCTACACTATGGATAAGTTTAAAATTTGCTAGAATTCACCTGTAAAACTGTCTGGATCTAGAGTTATTTAGATAGATAACTCTCTGACAAAATACTAGCTTCTCCATAGATTAGTTAATTGATTTATTCAATTGATACTTGTTGAGTCTCATCTACATATCGTGTATAGTGCTGAATGGTCAAATTCCATTATCAGGGAATTTGAAACCTAGTCAGACAGCCAAATATTAAAGAATCATCTCAAGAATGACTCAAGGTATTTTTTCTTGGCACTTTTTATGCAATTCTTTTTGGTAAGTATTTCATGGATTTAAAAAAATAATAATGGGCATAAACGTGTGTGTGTGTGTGTGTGTGTGTGTGTGTGTGTGTGTGTGTACTTTATATACATTCTAGGGGGAGTTACAGACCTTTTCTGAGGATCTGATGGAAGTACCATGTTCCCAGAAAAGTTCACAGTCACACACACATGCAAATAATAATTTGTATAGAGCTCAAAGATTTCTCAATACTCAAAAAACCAACCCATACATTTTAGCTTAAACAATATTTTTCTGTCACTATTTTCTTTTTGTCTCCTTGATCTAGAAATATCTGAAAACGTTTAATGTGTGCATAATTTTTTTTTCATCTTGTCTTCTTCCATTTGGGCTGTGCTAACAAAATACCATTGCTAAGGCAGCTTATGAACAACAGAAATTTATTTCTCATAGTGCTGGAAGCTGAAAGTCCAAGATCAAGATGCCCATAGATTCAGTGTTTGATGAGGATTTGTTTTCTGATTCATCAATGATGCCTTTTTCACTGTGTCCTCATGCGGTAGAATGGGCTAAGTTAGCTCTCTGCCATCATAAAGGCCACTAACCCCTCATGATCTAATCACCTCTCAAAGGCTTAACCTCCTAACATCACCACCTTGGGGGTTAGGAATCTTTTAACTCTTCTTAAAAGAAGTTAAAAAGATGTATCTCTTAAAAGTCTTAAAAAGATGTATCTCTTATTTGATTTTTTTATCAACTCAAATCATGAGAATTTTAGATGATACTACTATTTGATTCAGAGTTGTCATGAAGATTAAGGGATAAAAAACCTTTACATTATGTACATTAGCATATAGCATAATTTCAGACATATATTAAGAACTACTAAATATTTAATATTATTATCATTATCACTACTTATTTAATATGAGTTTAAACAATTCACGGTGACTCACATAATGAATCTATGGTCTTATTTTTGTCATCTTATTTTGAGTATTTTTTTCACATTTTCTATATTTTGCTATGCTCTAATTTCTTGCATAGTATGTGACTTGATGTTCTTTTTCTGTGATGAACCAGTACATATTTTGTTTTTAATTCTACTTAGTGGTTATCTTTACAACTTTCAAAACTAATCACTTAAAATGTAAAATATTACTAACATATGGAAAACTACAGAAAGTACTATAACTGACAACAGACACCAATATTGCAGTCAGATTTAATAGATGTTAACATTTTGCTCTACTTGTTTTGTATCCTTCTCTTAAACACACAAACCATTACATATAGAGCCAAAGGCCAGCTCCAGGCTCCCCAGGGAGAAACACTATCCTGAAGTTGATGCGTATTTGTCCCATGCACGTTTTCAGCCTTTCATTATAAGAATCTGTATTCCTCTAATTATCAAGTTAATAATTAAATAGTGTTCTTGAAACACCCTATTGTAAAATTAGGAGTTTAGCAATTTTGTACTGCACTACTCTATTTCTTAATTTTGTTTCATCTCTTAATCAGTTGTTGTACATTTTAAAGTAATTTAAAAATGACATATAGATATTATATTTCTACACTATTGAATAGCTGAGAAGTTTTTAAAAATCTTCGGAAGAGAAAAAAGAGTTAATAAACATATCTCAGAATGTTATTCCCAGCTAGATATATTGCAGACATTGTGTCATTGGCCATTGGCCCTTAGTATTGCAGAGAAGGCAATCAGCAATCAGCATCCCTCCTATCTGCCCATTTCTATAATTTATTTTTTCTTACTTTTGCAACTTTCAAATATGTTCAGTGTATTTCTAGACAAGAATATCTTTCTATTGATTCTTCTGTATTATAGAACTCCCTTTTGATCTGTTTTCTCATGTCAACCTTAAGCTCCAATTATGTCTATAATCATTGCTTCAATTCAAAATTTTCAGTTTCTTCCTGATGAACACGTGTAGTTACTAGCCTAGGTAAGGGAGAGTACTTACATATTTTAAGTAGGAAAGTTTTCAATATCACACCTGTTTGGTGACACTGAGATCCTGATTTGCCTATGAGAAAGACACTTACTTATGCATCCAACAGAGAAATATCTATTGTTCTCTTTATCTGAGAATGTTTTATTTTGTCTAAAAAGTTCTTCAAACCAGCAATATATGCATGGCCCATGCTTGTCGATATTTTCAAGTGGTCCAGTCAGCAACAGCTGTAAGTCTGAGTGGAAGAGGAGATTGCAGGTGAGATGTGACCACGGGGTGTTGAGAATGGCCCCTGTGCTCCTAATCTTTTCCAAGTCTGTACCCATAATTCCACCTGACAGTCTCCATCCAGCAAGTTTAAATTACTCAGCCTTATATCACACTGTCTTTCTGAGAAAACGCAGTTTTAATCATCATAAACTTGTCCTTTGTTCATATCACCTTTTATGTTTAATTGGTCCTTCCATTACCTCTCTAGCAAATGCCTTGAACTTCATCAAGACAAAATTTTCATTGTGAAAATCCAGAGTGATTTTTCCAATAGGTGGTCTCTACTGTCTAATCATTAAACATATCCCAGGTAATATTTGCATCCTCTAACCTACACCTGAGCCACAGACCATAGTTGGGATAGGTCTAGATCACTGAAAGCTGATTTTTAAAACCTTAACGCTGTCTTTGCTTACTGTGTCAATTATCCATCCCATTCATACTCAGTTCACAGCATACAGTGCGCAAGTAAACTTTCGGCAATGTATTGCCCCTTATCTCCTTGGTCATTGGCAAGTCATCCTTCGTCAAATATGGAATTAACTCCACATTTGTGCTCTTACTTTATTTTCCCTGCCCTCTTACCCAAAGTGTTCACCAACTCCAAAATCCATTTTCTTAAACCACTTTATTTGAGACGGGACCTCTAAGGAAGTAATTAAGGTTAAATTAGGACAAAAGGGTGGGGCTCTGACCTATGTAAAAAGAGACACCAGAGAGCTCGCCTTCCCCCTCCTTCCACATACACACACACAATTAAAAAAAGGCCTTGTTGGAATATTGTGAGAAAGTAGATGTTTACAATCAAGGAAGGGAGTCCTCACCAGAAACCAAGTCATTCTGCACCTCGATCGGGGACGTCAAGCCTCCAGAACTGTGAAAAAACAAATTCCCTTTGTTTAAGCCACCCAGTCTATACTACCATGTTATGGCAGCCTGAGAGGACTGATATAGGTATATAAAGGTGCTGAAGAGAAAGTCTCTAAACGATACCACGACTGGAAGAAGACGAAAGGGAAGGCTTGAACACTTCACTTGATGAGAAGTGGCACCATACAGCATAAACACTGAAGACAGCGCAGACATTCCCTGCTATTCTTTGCCTTCATCTAGGAAAGAATGGGCACCTTAACCACCTCTGGTTGGACTCAAGTGACTACTAGAATCACTGGGCAGGAGTCAGAAGGTGCTGTGTTCATTACCCTGAAAATGTTTGTCCCCCTTGCCTTGATATGGTGGGGCTCTGTTATTATTCACATATTATTTCCTCAATTTTGACTTAGAGATAAAGAATGGGACAGATAATGAGAGGACCTAGTATTGGGCTCCTGTTGAGCAGGACTCAAAGTTAAGACTTTAAGAAGGAGGTGGTCATAATGTGAGTCATGTCACTACAGATCCAAAGTTTACACCATGTCTAAAGTAGTGATGCATTTACCAATATAAAAGTGCACAGAAAAAGACTAAAAGGAAATCTTCTAGCACATTAACTGAGTTAAGCTAAGGATGTTCAGCTGAAAGGCTGTTTTCTAGCTGCTTTGCTCTGGAGTATTTCTTGTATTATTTTATAATCAGGAAACAGGCAAAACCAAAATGACATGTGCATATTTAAAATTTTAATATTATGAGCTAGTATCTCTACATCCTAACTTCTACTGCTGCATGAGTTTACTTTCTTCCCTGCATCTTTGCAGTTTTTTGACATTGTAAACTCATGTGTCTTGCATACCAAATGCATTTGTGTCATCAACTGTGAGGCAGTCTATGTTTGAGTAAGATTTTCATATTTTCATTTAATAATACACATTATTTCACAAACTCTGTTTTCTGCTTCTACCATCTTACTGAGGAAATCTGTTAGAACGAAAGCTCTGCTTTTCTAAGAACATTCCCTGTTTTGAATCAAGGATGATTTGCATTCTTAACACGGCAAGAGTTTGTGGGAAATTCTGTGCATCCTTATCTTAAAAAGATCTCCATCTCCACAGGCAGAATGTTGAATATTTAGCATTTGCTATTAGAGAGAGGATTGCTATTTATATTTGTAATGTAAGAAGTTGACTGCTTGTTAGTGTGCACTCCACTACTTCACTGACTTAGTTACTGTTATTGTTTTAGTTGTCTTGGCAGTAACCTGGTTATTTTTTCAAAGAAGGAATCTATGAATATCAAACCAACAAGTAGTCTTCAAATAGAAGCCCAGCAATCTATTCCTGCCTCAGCAGCATGAGCTCTTGACCCCAGGAAGCAGGGTGTAGGAAGAGCCCGTGTACTTTAGGTTTCTTTAAATGATAAGCAGTTAGCCTCTTCTAAATAGTAAACAGTACGGTTTGGTGGCCATCCTAATTGCCCCCACCCCCTCAAAATACAAAACATGAAAGAAAACTGGCAACTACTGATAATATAAGCTCTGCTGTCAAAAACAAAACTGCAAGCAACAGATTGAAGGCACAACCATGCAAAGATGCATCTCAAGAGGGATAATTAAAACACATATGCACACCCAGAGAAAAATAGATTTTTTGTTTTCCCTGCCCCAAATCCTCTTGTATTTTCAACAAGTAATAAGACAGGAGAAAGTGGTTGTATGCTACAGTGCCTCTAAAATTGGCAATTAATAAGGATGCTGTTTTGACTGTCTTGAGATTTTCTTCCTGCCAAATGTTTAAATATATCATTCTGTTTACCTCTACCCACATTCTGTCTGCTTCAGGGAAGAGTTCTTTGTCCTTTTGACTTCGTTGACACCAGACATGCACAGGGGACCTTTCATAAATGAAAAGATTTGTCTCTGTGTGTACTTATCTTCATGGGTATAGAAACAGAGAGCTGAAACTGTGAGTCAGAGTGAGCTTTCCTTACAGATGGGTGCCCTGGGCATTGGTTGGATTTCTGTTTAATCCTTAGTCCTTCATCTTTGAGGTGTGTGTGTGTGTGTGCGTGTGTGTGTGTGTGTGTCAGAGACAGAGAGAGACAGAGATAGAGAAACAAAACCTGAAAATCATAATCCTCCATTGTCTTGCTCTTGTCCTCATTTATTAGGATATGCCTGTAGATGGGGAGTAGCATTGCCATCCCTACAAAAAGAGGCTTGTAAGTAGATCAAGAAAGACTAAAATCCAGAAGTGCCAGCATTTTTCTTGCCTCTCAGTTACATTACATTCAGAGCCTGGGATTTTGATTGCTGACAATAAGAACACATCCATCCAGGTACACTTAGTCTCTCTCTAAGAGCTGAAAGGGGATGCAGATAAAGTGACGATGGTGGAAACGTGGAAGGTTGGATGAGGGCTCGGCATTCCCATTTGGAGGAAATTTTTAAGACTTCTGCCAGGTGTAGCTCTCTTCATTATCCAGATCACCCTAGAGAAGTCTAAAGACGGCATTAATCCAAATTTAAGGTCTTTTAAAAACCGATTTATTCCTTCAATAAATATTTATTGGACACTCACAACGTGCAAAGCATTCTGGAAGACAGAAAATGCATAATATAGTCTTTTCTCTCAAGCCGCTTATGATTGCATAGGGGAGGATAATATATATATGCAAATAACTATATTATTTTATTCAGGACTCTTTCAGTTGCAAACGACAGAATCGAAACGCAAAGTCACTTAAACAGAAAATAAATTTATTGGTTCATGTAACTGAAAAGGCTGTGAATATATCTTCAGGCACAGCTCAATTCAGGGGCTCATTTGATATAATTACTTCTCTCTATCTCTGTCTCTGTCTTTCTGTCTCTCTCTCTCTCTCTCACTCTCTCTCTCCTTTCTCTCTTTTTTCCCTCTTCCACTTTATTTTTGGGGTTTTAGAGCCTTTGGATCAACCACTGTGGACAGGGATAACATGATTGTTCAGTAATGGTCAAGTAACCTGAGCACCTAAAATAGCTGTGGACTTCACCAAGTGTTTATTAAACATTTACTAAATATGTAAAATATTTTCAATAGCTTGGAATGATATAAAATGAATTACAAAGATTTTTACCCAAAGTTAGGTAACATGAATTTTAGCAAACCCAGTGACAAAACAAACAAAAAATCTTTAGTGAACACCACTCTGCAGTTCTCAATCATAACAGAAAATGGGAAAGTATAAGATTCCAGAGATAGAAGCATTGGAAAACATGGAAATACAAACATATGAAGAACTGAAGTGCCTGACAGTAGGGTCCACAATTGGGTAGCCAAACAAATGAGGACAGAAGGAAGCTCATGGACTGTGAGAATGGGAAAATTGTCAGGGGAGTAGAGGTTATGGGAAAAAATCAGAGCAGATTGAATAGGAGTGAGAAAGTGAAGTTAAAGTGATTGTGAGCCCTGAAGTGGGATGAGTCTGAGGCAGGTCTTTAAGTGTGGCTGTGTTGCTAGGCGACTGAAATGGAGAAGGACTGAAGGTCACTGGAGCTGAGGGGACTGAGGCACTAAAAGGTCAAGGTTTGTGATGAATCTTGAACTTGCAACTGTAAAGTCTTAAAGTCATACAGACAAAGCCCATTCTAATGAGGAGGGAGTTGGAGTGAGCTGAAGATGGACAGAATTATCCCTGGAAGTGAGCCCTCTCTGGAGTGGTGTGCTTTGTTCACTGCCATTTGTAAACTGCACTAACAGGACCATCTGAGCCTGCCCTGGCCAGACAGATCACAAGATTCCTAGCCAGACAGAAGATGTGGAAAGGATAATCAAAGATTGTCTGGTGTACTGGAAGGCTGTCGATGAGTAGGTGGCTTTATAGTGTATTGCTCTGTGTTTTGAGCCTCAAACCTCTTTTTTTTTTTTCTTTTTTGTGAGAGAATTTCACTCTTGTGGCCCAGGCTGGAGTGCAATGGCGTGATCTCAGCCCACTACAACCTCCACCTCCCGGGTTCAAGTGATTCTCCTGCCTCAGTCTCCCAAGTAGCTGGGATTACAGGCACCTGCCACCATGCCCAGCTAATTTTTTTTTTAAGTTATTTTTAGTAGAGACAGGGTTTCGCCATGTTGGCCAGGCTGGTCTCAAACTCCTGACTTCAGGTGATCCACCCTCCTCGGCCTCCCAGAGTCCTGGGATTACAGGCGTGAGCCACCGTGCCCAGCCCAAACCTCTTTTAAATACCTGATAGCAGAAACTTTTTCCCACAGTCCAGAGACAGCCCTATGAGGTGCCCCAAAGCTGGAGGTAATTTCCTGAATTATGATATCCTGGGAAAAGTTAGTCTCTATTTAAATAATAATAACCCACCTCTTCCCTCACTCCCACCACTTTCTAAACATTTACATTTTCAATTTGTGTCAAAAATTTTCTTGGTACATGATTTTTCATTATTCATTCACTCAATGATATAGCTATTTTTCTTTTGTCTAAACCTTTCCATTAGAATGTAAGCTTCATGTAGTCAGAAATCTTGTCCAGTTTGTTTAATTTTCCCAGTCCTATGATCTGTGTTTCAAAAGAGAAGCTGAATACACACACACACTCACGCACACAGAATTTTCTGTTAAACTTTTTTTGTACAAAAGGATAAAAAACAAAGTCAGTCCAATACCAGATAACATTCCTTCTTTTCTGCCAAGTTGTTTGCTTTAGTAGTATTTCAAGGATATAAAAATGCAAAATAGTAAGGAAGTAAATGTATGGTTTATCCCATTGTCTTATCACACCTGTAATTATTTCTGTTTCAGTACCTCTTACTTTTTTGCCTAAAGGAAATATAGTTAATCCTCTTTCTTTTTCTCTCCACCGCTCCCCACTTCTCTTTTCCTTACCCCATCTCATGCACACACACTCATAAACCACATATTCCTTCTTAAACCTATTTGCCAGACCTATGATTTCCATGTGAGTACTCTAATTTACCCTCTCATGTACATACTTCCTCTGATATGCATCATTAATAGGAATAATGAAATTTCTAAATTCAGTATTGCTCTGGCTGTATATTTATAATCATCATCACATTATTAAAATAATTAAAACAAGGCTGGGTGCGGTGTCTCACGCCTATCATCCCAGCACTTTGGGAGACTGAGGCGGGCGGATCACAAGGTCAGGAGATGGAGACCATCCTGGCTAAGATGGTGAAACCCCGTCTCCACTAAAAATACGAAAAATTAGCCAGACATGGTGGCGGGCGCCTGTAGTCCCAGCTACTCGGGAGGCTGAGGCAGGAGAATGGCGTGAACTCGGGAGGTGGAGCTTGCAATGAGCTGAGATCGCGCCACTGCATTTCAGCCTGGGCGACAGTACGAGACTCTGTCTCAAAAATAAAATAAAATAAAGTAAAATAAATATAAATAATAATAATAATTAAAACAAAATGCTCAGCTGCTTGCAGTGTAGTGCTTATGAGGTCAAGGTAGTTGGTTCACTCTCTGGGTAGGCCAACTGGTATTCAAAGAGGGAGAAAATGGTTTTCTGGCTATGGACTGCACCCTTAACCTCAGCCAGCCATCTTACAAAGGCACAGCATTGGTTACAAGCAGACTGGGTTGAGAGAAAGAGAATGGGTGTAAGCAAATCCACAATTGAGGTAGGATTAAGGCCACTCTCCAAATGAGTCCAGTTATTTTTGACCCATAGTGAAGAAGGCAAGTTTAGCCAGCAAGTGCCTAGTAAATGTATTTCAAGAATATAAGAGAAAATCAGAAGAATTAGTCAAAGGTAAGGATAAATATTAGATAATAGGTACAATTTTGGGATGGCAGTACCAAGAATTGTGCTAACCTCTTTAATAACATTTGTTCATTTGAAGGCCTCTTCATACATCTGTACAGGTAATACACTGCAAAACTTTAGATGGAGCCTTTTAGTTGTACTATGATGGAAATGTGCTACATAGGGTCATTGACTAGTTAATCAGTTCTATGACGTAATCACTACTATCTACCATCCCGCTGTACATATAAGGAAACCAAGACTAATAGTGGATAAGTAATTTGCCCAAGTCACACAGTTAACAAGTGGTAAAGACAGAATTTAGAGCTATTAAGGAAATCTTTAGAATGGGGAAACAATTTTTTTTTTTTTTTTTTTACTTTTCTGGCAGGATAATGTAATGAAATCTGGAGAAACTCTCTGAGACCAAAAAAGAAAATATTTTCATTACATTCAGGAAAGTCTGTGGGGAAAATAAAGACGGTGCAGGATCACAGGAGATAACTAAAAGAGTCCAGAATGAAAGACAGAATGAAAAAGCACGGATCTCGTCAGTAACATTAATTAATATCCTTATCATAAAATATTCTCCTTAGTGGAACACTTTAGTAAGAAATAGGTGTTAGGACTCATCCTTCACCATTTTCTAGGCCTGGGATTATTCTATCCTTTACTTACAATAGAGACACTAAACAGACTATTTGATGTAGTTTGGATGTTGTCCCCTCTAAATCTTATGTTGAATTATAATCCCCAATGTTGGATGTGGGGGCCTGGAGGGAGGTGACTGAACATTGAAGCATATCTCTCATGCATGGCTTAGCACCATGCTCTTGGTGATGAGTGAATTCATGCGAGATTTGGTTGTTTAAAAGTGTGTGGCACCTCTTCCCCTCCCTGTGCTTCAGCTCTTGCCATGTCATACGCTGGCTCCCTCTTCACCTTCCACCATGATTGTAAACTTCCTGAGGCTTTCCCGGAAGCTGAGTAGATGCCAGCACCATGCTTCCCTTAAAGCCTGCAGAACCATGAGTCAATTAAACCTCTTCTCGAAATACATTAACCAATCTCCGTTATTTCTTTATAGCAATGCAAGAACAGCCTAACACAATATTCTTATGTTTTTCATGTTTCTCCATAGGGGTGTGCATAAGGGGTGCTTTAAAATGCAGATTACTGAGCCCTACCTTAGGCTTAGGCTACTCCATCTCAATTTTCCCAGAAGATTCTTAAGTACATCAAAGTTTGGGAAACACTGCTCTAGAAGATGGGTGGAGTGATAAAACATACTCAACTCCTAAAGCCCACAGATAGGCAGAGGGCTTGGGATTAGATTAAGAGAGAAATTCCAAAAGGAAAATGAGGCATCGGATTAACCATAAACACTAAGTCTCCTTCGTGGTGAATCTTATTTTATATGGATGACCAACTAAATCATCATTAGACTTGGAGCCCCAATAACATAACCTATGTTAGGAGAGAAGCAGCAACATTTGACAGTGTAGAACTAGAGACTTGAAGTAAGAATAACCCAGATTCAAATCTCTGCTCTTCCACTTACCAGCTGAGCAACCCTAGGCAAACAGTACACTTTTTCTAGTCTCAGTTTCCTTACTCATAATATGGGGATAAAAATACTCTCTTGCTAATTATTAAGATAAAATGCCATGATTTATGTAAAGTCCCTACTATAAGGTGAGTTCTCACTGATGATAAATGTCATTGTGCTTATTGCTATTGTTAGGAGGCCAGGGGAAGATCACTGGACCTGAAGAGAAAATCCATAGTTGTTTCCAGATTGGGTAAAAAAGCAGTCAAAGTGAGTTCCTCCTGGTTAAATGCTATGTTAAATTACTTGACTTCAAATCTGTAACAAATTTGGCTTTAGCTATATCTTAATATTGCTATTTAAAGTGAGATTATTGTAAACAAAATATTTAGCTATATCTTAATAGTGCTTTTTAAAGTGAGATTATTGTAAACAAAAAGAAATATTTAAGAAATGCAATGACAGGGAAGGAAAGTCTAAAGGGGTCTTTGGCACCTCATGTGTGCAGTCCCTGGGGAGGAAGCAGGAAGAATACACCTTCAAAAAGAAGTAAGAGCTTCTGCAGAATCCTTGAGAGGAGGACAAGTGAGCTGAAACATTTTGAGTTTGCTTCATTTTCAGCACTATTTTCAAACGAGAAAGACATTAGCAAGCGTTTGTGTAAGGATGGTATTGTGGAAATGTTGCTGCTAGACTCAATGACTTTGACTCCAAGACACATTTTCATCCTGATTTTTAAGACAGGGACGAAAGCATCTGGCATAAGTTTCAGGAAAGGTATAATCTTTTAGTTAGCTTGGAGGAAAAAAATAAAACAGCAACAAGTCAAAGGAAGAGCTGGTTAGACTTGGCAAAAGTTGCCACTTAGAGGAGGGTGATTGAGAGAGGCGGCTTGCATGCAAGAGTGTACATTGCCACTAATTCAGGATGCCTGGGAAATGGCAGTGCACCGGGTAATTGGACATTATGCTTTCCCAAGTGTTTCCATCATTATGCAGCACATGTGGATCACCAATTTTCGGATAAATGAAATGCCTGTGGAATCTTAATATATTCAGAGATTGTCTGGTCTATGGCTTCCCCTCATAGATTAGGACGTTGAGGCCCAGTAAGGAACCATGTGTGTGAAGTCACAGCTAATTAGTGTTTTAGTCAAGATCAGAATCCAGATTTCATCACCTTTAGGTCAATATTTATTTCCACTATCCCACATAATTGTGTCACTCTTACCATTCTTAGATATTTTTTGGTGATTAAGAATTGTAAGTACCTTGGAGGTTATCATTACTGATATCAGTTCTCCCTGGACCAGGCTAAAGGGTAGAAGTTATAGACATAGGAGATTGGGCTAAATCTCTTCTCACAAAATACAGTACCCCAAAACTTCCTTTTTAAATTAAACTATTAATGATAGTCACTTGTTCATTTATCATTTCTCATAAACTGTCAGTGAGCAAAATACACAAAAGAAAGTGATTGGGCTTTGTGGGTGTGCAGAAAGAGTATTTTTTGATAAAAATTTTAAAAATAAACTAGTTGTCTAAGAAAACATTTTATAATATGATTAAAGGGAGGTCATCTCATGTATTGGAAGCAGCTGCTCACAGGCTGCACTTGTTGTTGCAAGGCTCTCAGAGTACAGGGTGACCTGACACCCAGTTGACATACTGAAAGGTACAAGTACACAATATGCTAGAGAAAAATCTGGGGAAAATTCTTCATTTGTGTAGGCCTTTGCCTCTGTAAGTCACAAAATCTGTAATCAATCTACCTTGAAGTCAGGACTGTTGTGATATATGATTTGGGGCATTACTAATTGTATTTGCAGATATAAACTTAAAAGCTACTTTAATGTGTACACATGTGCTTATGTGTAATCTCACTAAGAATCCTACATTAGTCTCTAAGACATAAAGGTAGAATTAAGGGTTGAGGCAACCTATAGTAGATTTCTAGAACAGACTTCTCAAATTCTAATGTGCATACAAATCAACTGGGGAACTTGTTAAAATGCAGAGTGGGATTTAATAGGTCTGGAGTGGGAACAGCTATTCACATGTCTAAACATCTCCCAGGAGATACTGATTGTTCTGGTCCATGGACTACGTTTTGAGTAATAAGGGTTTTAGAAGAGTGGAAGGAAAGGGGAGGAGCAGAAAAGCTCCATTACTTAAACAAACCAAGTCCCTTTCTCTATTTTTGATCTATTTCTAACAAGACATGCAAATTACTACAGATTAAAGAGACTTTAAGAACTTGTGTCTCAAAGCCAATATATTTTGGTGCTAAAAAGAATGGATGTGTGCATGTATTTCAGAATCACCCCCAGTCTTTTTCTTTCCACACTGCAGCCATAATAATCTTTTAAAAACTCCAAATCATTATTTCTCTCCCTTTAAAAAAAATATTTTAGTAGCTTCTTTTGTTGTACAGACAATGTTCAAACTCTTAAAGTAGTTCACAAACTTCTACTAGATGTGACTGCTACCTCATATCTGATCACTGTCCTCTTCATTATTTAAGCTTTAAACACAATGTACATCTACTAGTCCTTCAAGTACAATGTTTTATCCTCTCCCAGATTTTCACAATACTTTTCCTTCTTCCCGAAATACTCTTTGTCTTCCCCACTGCAATTCTCTACTTTTCTTTACTATTTCTTTTTCTTTCCCTGGGTAAGCCTTCTTTGATACCCATAGTCAGGTTTAAGAGCCTCTGCTATATGAACCTACAGCACCTTTGTTTTACCCTATCAAAAACCATCACATTGCCTCGGTCATTTTAATTGGAAGTTTCTCCCACTGTATTCACATCTCCTCGAGGACAGAGATCATGTCCATTTTGCTTATTATTTTAGTTTATTTCCCTAGTTAGGCCCTCTTTAGACAAATAGTTAATATCTATAACATAAATAAATAAGCAAGTAACAGTTGCAATCCCTAGAAGACAGAGGGGGTGATGGATGGTGTAGGACATAGTCCAGAGAGAGCAGAACATTTTTGAGGCGGGGAGTAACCTAATAGGGCTTGGGGAGCCAGAGGCAATTTTCTAGAAGAGAAGGCCCAAGATCTGAAGTATGCATAATGGGCAATTGGAATTTCCCAACTGGAAGGCAGAAATGAGGAAATTTCAAAGGGGTGATGAAGAATGTTGAAGACATAACTTACAGATCTAATTATGGTTTTCCTGAGGCTATTTAGACAAAATAATGTAACATACTACCCAACAGAAAGCCTGAAGTAGTAATAGAGGGAAGGTAAAAGTGAGCAGAGACTGGAATCAACTGTTTTCCCCAAATCCTTGTGGAAGCAGAGGATCACTGCACTGGGAGGCATGAGAATGCTGACAGTGTGGATTTAGGAGGCATCTCATTGCTTAAATCTTTGTGACTGGAGAACAGGCTTATAATAGCTTACAGAACGATAATAACTTTTTTTTTTTTGTGGGGCCCATGTGACAATTAAGGGCACATTTGTGAAATATTCTATGTCTGAAAGAATAGGCAGGAAACTAAGAGAAGAGATTCAAATGACTCCTAAAATAAAACTTGCCTTGGGCCTTAAACACTCAGGATGATTATTTATTACACAAATCAGGGAAATGCTTGTTAGTTTGGGATGGTGATGTTTTTGACGCTCAAATTGGATTTTATTTCTTAGGAAACCCCCTAAAACTTTTTTTGTCTTCAAGTTTTCTAATAAGTAGTGACCCTTTTGTCAAATAAAATATTATTCTGCAGCAGATGATACTCAGAAAACTCATGTTGAAAATCAATTCCAGTCTTCTACCCTCTCCCAACACCCATCAGCAAACTCTAAGGTCCTTCAGAGAGCCTCAAGGCTCTGGAATACACTACTAGAATCAAAATTCTTCCATTATTCCAGGAGTTTATTTTCCCCAAGCATTTGGTGACTTATATTTGCATGAATCCCATGGGGATACTCAGAAAACTCATGTTGAACATCAATTCCAGCCTTCCACCCTCTCCCAACACCCATCAGCAAACTCTGAGGTCCTTCAGAGAGCCTCAAGGCTTTGGAATACACTACTAGAATCTAATTTCTTCCATTATTCCAGAAATTTGTCTTCCCCAAGCATTTGGTGACTTATATTTGCATGAATCCCATGGACTGCTTAGTGATATCTTGAAATTTTAAATTCAATTTTGACTCCAAATAAAATTTCCCAGTATGATTTATTTATACATGCAGATATATAGAATGTATGCATATAATATATGTTATATAATGTAAGTCATACATACATGAATGGTTGAACTACTTAACATAAGATATAAACAAATACAAAGATTCAACAGATATCAAGATTTAAAGAAAAGAGGCAAAAAGGTAATTTTTCTAAATTTTAATTTTGCTTATTATTAATTACTACACAGAATTTTTTGTTTCTAATTTACTCTATATCTTTTTGAGCCAATGACCTTGCCAGCAAGTAATCATTATGGATTGATAATAAATCTGGCCTTCATGTTGGGACCCCCTATAAAATGTTTCTCATATGTTGCTCAACCTAAACAGGGTATATCATAGGAACAGCCTAAATATTTGCTGAAAAATCTACTGAATGAATGAGTGTTGGCTTCTTTTTTTTAAAAAAAATTTATTTTATTTTACATTAGGGTCTGGGTTGTAGAGCAAAGTGCTGTAGACCTGGAATCAGAAGGCCTGGGTTGGGGCCAACTGTAGGCAACTCTAGGGTCTTGTTTTATGATAGGTCTGCTTTTTATTTTTTGTTAAATGGAGGTAGCAAGCAACTCCTTAAAAACTATGTATTGCTCTAAATATGCCAACGACTATCTTTGGTAGTAACTGTGTTCTTTTGATCTCTAGAGCACATAGTCTCTCAGGAATCCCAAATAGAAGAAAACACTTTTACTGGGTTTTTTTCCTTCCTATTCAGTATTTTCTTTGTTCAAATTCATTCCATTTGAAGATAGTAAATATGGTTTTATCTCCTGATATTCTCCCCAGTCAGGAATGTTTATTTTAGTTACAATGCAGCTCTCTAACCACTTACTTTATAGAAAGAATTTTAATAACAATGAAATGATTTAAGTAAATACCTCTGCTAGTTAACAAAAATTATTCCTTTACTAGCATCTGTAATTCCAAGCAAGAGTGTTATTTTTGGGGGGGGTATTGTTTGCTTATTTATTTATTTATTTATTTTATAAGATCAGCTTTTAAAAGACCTGTTTCTTAACCAGCTATTTCATGGGAGTATCACTTGACCTCTCTGTTGATTGGTTGTGTGACTGACCTTTTGCACTCAGAAAAAGAGTTAATTTCTGTCAAAGTGCTGTAAAGATGAACAACTTAGAGAAAACTGAGAGCAAGATGGCCAACTAGAAGCCTCTACTGATCATCCTCCCTGCAGGAACAGCAAATTGAACAACTATCCACAAAAAAGCACCTTCATAGGAACCAAAAATCAGGTGAGGAATCACAATATCTGGTTTTAACTTCATGTCACTGAAAGAGGCACTTAAGAGGGTAAGAAAGACAGTCTTGAGTTACTGATCCCCTCCCACATTCCCCATCAGCAGGTGCTTGGCACAGAGAAAGAATCTGTGTGCTTGGGGAAGGGACAGCACAGTGATTGTGGGACTTTGCATTGGAACTCAGGGATGCTCTGCTACAGCAGTACAAGTCAGAACTCAGCTGGCAGGAGCATTTAGACCAGCCCTAGCCAAAGGGGAATCATCAATCCCAGCAGTTGTAACCTGAGTTCCAGCAAGCCTCACTTACTGAGGGCTAAAGTGCTCTGAGGTTCTAAATAAACTTGAAAGGCAGTCTAGGCCATAAGGGCTGCAATTCCTAGGCAAGCCCTGGTGCTGTGCCGGGCTCAGAGCCAGTGGGCTTGAGGGGCATGCGACCCAGGGAAACATGAGCCAGGCCAGCCAAGTAAGTTCTTGTGCCACTTCTCCCCCAGCCCCAGGCAGTGCAGCTCCCAGCTTTGATAGAGACTCCTTCCTTGCACTCGAGGAAAGGAGAAAGAAGAGTAAAGAGGACTGGTTTTGCAACTTGGATAACAAATAGGGCACCAGGCAGAATCCTGGGGCACACATTCCAGGCTCTAAGTCCCAGACAATATTTCCAGACACACCCTGGGCCAAAAGGGAACCCACTCTCTTGAAGAGAAGGACCCAGTCTTGGCAGGATTTATTATCTACTGAATAACGAACCCTTGGTCCCTGAATAGTCAGCAGCGATAGCCAGTCAGTACTTGCTGTGGGCCCTGGGTAAGACTCAGAGATGTGCTGGCTTCAGGTGTGACCCAGCATCTTCCCAGCTATGGTAGCTATAAAGAGGGACTCCTTATGCTTGAGAAAAGGATAGTGCAGTGTAAAGGGAACTTTTCTTGCAGCCTAGATACCTGCTTGGCCACAGTAAGGTAGAACACCCAGCAGGCTCTTGGGGGTCCCTGATTTCAGGACTAGGCTCCTGGACAGCATTTCTGGACCCACTCTGGGCCAAGGCGAGCTCACTGCCCTGAAAGGACAGTCCCAGGCCTGGCAGCATTTACCATAGGCTGACTGAAGAGCCCTTGGCCCTTGAATAAACATCAGCAGCAGCCAGGCAGTATTTGCTGCAGGCCTGGGGTGGTAGTAGCCATGGCGAGAGGCTCCTCCTATTGTGGAATGGGAAGGGAAGAGTGGGAGGGATTTCGTCTTGTGACATTGTGTGCCCACTCAGACACTGTAGAACAGTGTTAGGTAGATTCCAGAGGTTTCTGACTCCAGGACCTTGCTCCCGGGTGGCATCCCTGGACCTGCCTAGGGCCTAAGAAAACTTGCCAACCTGAAGAGAAGGACACAGGGCTGGCTGGCTTTGCCACCTGCTGATTGTAGAGGCTGGGGACTTTCAGCAAACACAGGTAGTAGCCAGGGAGTGGTTATTGCAGGCCTTTGGTGAAACCCAGTGCTGTGCTGGCTTCAGGTCCGACCTAGTGCAGTCCCAGTGGTAGTGGCCATAGGGGTGCTTGTGTTACCCCTCTCCCAGCTTCAGGAAGCTCAGCGCAGGAGAGAGAGACTCCATTTATTAGGGAGAAAGTAAGGGAAGAGAAGGAGAATCTCTGCCTGGTAATCCAGAGAGTTCTTCCAGATCTAATCCACGACCACTAAGGTGATACCCCTATGAGTCTGCAAAAGCCACAGCTGATACTGGGCTTAAGATGCCCACTAATGCAGATAGGGCTGCAGTGACCAGAAACTTAGATCACAACACCCAAGACCCTTTAAACCTGGAAAGCTTTCTCAAGATGGATGGGTATAAACAACTCCAGACTGCAAAGACTACAATAAATACCTAACTCTTCAATATCCAGACACTAATGGACATCCACAAGCATCAAGACCATCCAGTAAAACATGACCTCACCAAACAAACTAAATAAGGCACCAGTGACCAATCTCAGAGAGACAGAGTTATATGACCTTTCGGATAGAGAATTCAAAATAGCCATTTTGAGGAACTCAATGAAATTCAAAATAACACAGAGAAGGAATCCAGAATCCTATCAGATAAAATTAACAAAGAGATGAAAATAATTAAAAAGAATCAAGCAGAAATTCTGGAGCTGTGAAATGGAACTGACATAATAGAGAATGCATCAGTCTCTTCCCAGCAGATTTGATCAAGCAGAAGAAAGAATTAGTGAGCTTGAAGACAGGTTATTTGAAAAATATACAGTCATTTGCAACAACATGAATGACACTAGAGGTCATTATGTTAAGTTAAATAAGCCAGGGAAAGAAAACCTTTGCATGTTCTCACTTATTTATGGGAGCTAAAATTTAAAACAATTAAACTTAGGGAGATAGAAAGTAGAATGATGGTTACCAGAGGCTGGGTAAGGTAGTAGGGGGTAGGGTAGGGGCGTGGGGATAGCTAATGGGTACAAAAACATAGTTAGATAGAATGAATAAGATCTAGTGTTTGATAGTACAACATGGTGACTACAGTCAGCAATAATTTATTGTACATTTAAAAATAACTAAAAGAGCTTAATTGGATTGTTTTAACACAAAGACAGGATCAAGTATTGAAGTGATGGATACCTCACTTACTCTGATGTGATTATTATGCATTGTATACCTGTATCAGAATATCTCAACTCCATAGATATATACACCTACTATATACCCACAAAAATAAAAAATAAAAAAATTTAAAAATGATGAACAGCATAATATATTGCATATTACTATACTGCTAATATGCCTTTCATAAATTGTACTGTAACACAAGATTTAAGAACCAATTTCAGAGTATAATACAGCAGAGTTAATTGAATGGTTGCACAGAATTTTGCTTTTCTTTATTTTTAAATTCTTCTTCGCTAACTAGCTTTGTCCAGTTTATGCTTAAGCAGAAGGCTGATAACCTAAAATTTTCTGATTAGAGAGAAGATTATAGGAAGTAGCATATGTTGAGTTCCTATTATATGCCATATTATAAATTTGTTTAATCTTCATAATAGCTCTGGGAAATAGGTATTATCATTTCCATTTTACAAACTTAGATTCAAAGCTCAGTCAACTTAATAATCTCCCCAAAGTTGCACAACACAAAAGCAGTGTGGTTGGTATTTGAATTCAGCTACGATAACCCCAATCACGACCTCTTTCACTAATACCATTCAGTTTCCTAGGAGAAGATGAGAAAATAATTTGATAAAGATACAGAATTTTAAAATTGTTATAGAACCTATGTATATACAGATTAGATTTTGATCTAATAAAGAACACTAGATTTTGAATAAACTTTATATGTAATAGAACATATTTGACTCAATTAGAAAATTAATGTCATTAAATATATATATATTTTACATACCTTTTGTATGGCAGGCAAAGGGCTAGTTACTTGATTTTCAACTGTAGCAAGGATATGATCTGCCTATAATATTCCTGGCAGTAGTCATTCAGGCTTAAATATTCCCAGATCTAAGCATCTGCCATCAAAACTCAGAAGATAAAAGCTGGACATTATATCTCTAAGATCTTGTTTAAATCTGAGTACTAATAGAAATAATAAATAAAACTAAGGCATCAGTTTTTTATTCTAGTGTAAGTCCTGAAAAAGCAAATAGTATGCTCTTTAGTTCATGATATTGTCTGAATTTGATGAACCCACCTATTCTTCCTTTTGGGGAGACAGAGTAGACATGAGGAACTAGAAGTCAATCTCATGAGTCTATGACTTAGTCCCTTCTCCATGTCATCTTCTTATCCAAATCGGGCAACTGCATCTAACAAGTGACAGAAAACACTCACAGAAGAGGTAGTCACCGAGTAAATCATTTAATCACTCCAAGCTTTGATTTCTTCAGTTAAAAAATATGAATCATGCATACTCTGCTCTGATTAAAATACAGATTCATCCTTAACATTAGAAACATGCTTAAGCTCCACAGCCCACTCCTCTCACTCCAATAATAGGAATGGTTTGGTATCAGTGTGCAGAGAGTCTCAACGAAGCCCACTGGGGATACAAAGTTTTGAAATTTTTAGACAAGTTTGTATTTCAGATTTGTTTCTAGACAATGGTAGGTAGTATTACATGGATGCTGAACCTTAAATAAGGATAATATCTGAATACTATTTTGCACCGAATTTACTGACTAGACATATGATTGATAATCTGAAATTTTTAAAGAGAATGTATCTATATTTTAATTACTATGAAAGATTTCATGAATTCTGATTCATATAAATAATATATACATAAAAACATTTAAAATTAAATGCCCAGAAAGGGAGCCAGTGCCCTCTTGTCAAAAGCTTTTTTTGCTCATAGAAATGCTGGCAGGATGGTATATAATTAATGCTGCAGGAATGCTGCCAGTAACAGGATACAGTGAAACGTTAGATACCATTAAACAATAATTGAACCTAAAGGCACAGGGTACAGAATACAACATTTCTGATTCAGCCCATTTGTCAAAAAATAATAACCAACATAATTTAATGAGTTCTTACACTGCCAAGAACTTTGCAAATATTTCTCATTTGTTCTTAGAAAAATGCGTACAAGGTGGATGTATTTTTCCTTTATCTCGGGTTAGGAAAGTGAAGCTTCTAAAGGTCAGGAAACATGTGCATATGAATGAAAAGAGTACTGCTAGATGTATATATGTCTGTTTTCTTCCAGAGCTTTGATGCATCTCCCCTGAATTTAGAAAATAGGATGCATGTTCCCTCCGGGATAGGGTCTATGTATAGCATGGCAACTTATACAGTTGTATTTAGTACGGATGGAGATGGAATTCTAACCAAGGTGAGCTTGACTCTAACTCCAAAGCTTTCTTAGTCATTGTTTCACTTTATGAAATAGTCATCCCTTTGCTACTCATTTACTTCTCTGTACTTCATATGTAATTCTCTATTCTTCACATATTCTATATTAATTTTTCCTTTCTTTCTCATTTTGTACTCTGATTTTCTTAATGATATAACTCCACATTTGTTACCCTATCAGTGGACGCTTTCCCAGAGGAAAAGTGCATCCTGTGTTTTTTGAGTCAGTGCAGTTATATCAAACTTCAGGCAGAAAACAAACATATACACATCGAGCAACATTCTTGTATCTGCAACCATATACCACTTTTTAGTTTACTGTATTTAGGCATTAAAAATTACTTTCTCTATTATATTGACAACGAGAGGCCACTGATTGTAAGACACATCATAATTTTGAGTCACTTAGAAAGAAAAACATAGAAGCAAATGAATTACAACATGATACTTTCTTATCATCAATGATAAGATGCAATTTAATTTCAGAAATATTAATTCATGAAGAAAATGTGTGTCTTAAAATTGAGGAAATATGGTATCTCTTATGTAGCTCTCATACATGCTATATTGGATAAGTATTATTTTAATGGATGTAACTTACACACACAACTCACTATTCATCCAATATTTATGTAATTCCATTTCTAGAATGTGTGCACAGGCAGGTTAGCCCCATGGTTGATCAATAGACTCTGGAACCACTCTGTTTGAGTTCAAAATGTGCCTCCAGCACTTCCTAGCTGTATGACCTTGGAAAATTTCTTAACATTTCAGTGGATCACATTCCTCATTTCTAAATTATTATTATTAATAATATTATATAATTCATAGGGCTATTGTGATGATTAAATGAATAAAACTGTGCCTTGTATATATTAAGTGTCTAAGTATTTACTATTAATATAGTTGTTATTATGATTACAGAGAACATGAAGACGTGAACTATATTGAAGTCCCTATGCAAATCTTCATAATGCCCAGGGGACTCTATCTCAACTTCAAGATGCAAACCTTTACAAGCATGCAGCTGTTCCAGACATCAATAATGCATGCACAGTTCATAATCATACCAGTTATGTAACCTGTCGTGCAAGCCACATCTTCCAAGGCATGTATCCCCAGAGGACAGACAAAGCTATGCACAGAGAACCTGCTGTTTCTTAAGTATTTCCACTTCCCATAAATTTACAATTAATATTAATCCTGATCTTGAAAATAAGCTGTGAACCAAAGCAAATCACCTTAAAAGCAGATTTTCATTAATGAGGAGATTTACTGTAAGTTTCTCAAAGCCTACCTTTCTTACTTGGCTTTTGTGAGAAATTGCAAATCTTTCCCTGGTGAGATCCATACCATGACTGCTGATACATGGTCGAGAGCACTTTTGTACTTAATTGGTGCAGAAATACAAGTAAAGGCAGAGCTGTGTTCACTTCCTCCTTCATTTCCTCTCTATTCCTTTTCTGTGATGTCACATACTGATACAGCATCTACACATAGCCATGTGTCTAACAAACATATCTGCTCAAGGCTTAGTCAATCTTTGACCTTCCTCCTTCCTCATGCATACCTTAAGCATTAATTTAAGGTCAAGCACATTTACAGGTTCCCCAGCATGCCCTTTTCCATCTTTTGCTCCTCTATCCTTTCTCATTGTCCTTGGTCAGACTTGCTTGAACTATGTTTCTCAGAAAGGCAGATACGCTTACCCATGGCTCTAGCAAAAATTCCTTTTTCATTTTTCCATGGGTGCTGCAGTTATTTTAAACTTTGGTAAAAATAAGTGTATCTAGCACCCTGTTGCCCAAAACATCTCAGATGGGCTAATGGAGTTTTATTATGGAGGAAAAAACCAAAGTCACATATAAAGTACACGTACAAATAAAAGCATAATCACATTCATTTCTTTTGTTTATTTTTCCTCTATTTACTCATTTTTATATAAAAAGATAATAGAGACAGCATTATACAGCAGAGACAAGTGTAACCTAACCCCATGTATATATATATATATATATATTTTTAAATTATACTTTAAGTTCTGGGATACATGTGCAGAACGTGCAGGTTTGTTACTTAGGTATACATGTGGCATGTTGGTTTGCTGCACCCATCAACCCGTCATCTAGGTTTTAAATTCCGGATGTGTTAGGTATTTGTCCTAATGCTCTCCCTCCCCTTGCTCCCCACCCCTGAACAGGCCCTGGTGTGTGATGTCCCCCTCCCTGTGTCCATGTGTTCTCGTTCAACTCCCACTTACGAGTGAGAGAATGTGATGTTGGTTTTCTGTTCCTGTGTCTAACCCCATATATTTTCATGGGGTTTCACGGGGTTACATTTATTCACAGAAACAGATAATAGATGTAAGTCAAGAACTATGGAATTGTCTAACTGTGAGTCTGTGTCCTAGCCCACTTGATACTTCTTATAAGAAGTACCCTTCTTCATAAGAGCCCTAATCACCCTAGAACACACAAAAATGATCTCATTTTTTTTAGTATTTTTCCATGATAGCCTACATAAAGGGCCATTTAACAAGGTGAGTCATAGTGCTGAACGTGCTAATGGTATATGCGGCCACAGACTTAATATTGTTATGTAAGGTCTCCCCAGTTGAGTTATCATACTAACATTTTTCTGTATAAAGTGGAGGAGTGAAAGTTATGACATTCATTGATAACTATCAAAGGCAACTAAGGCAGTCTGCGTTGTCAGCATGTTTTGTGGTCTAACCACTTCTAATTTTGCTTTTAAAAATTTCATCTACTTTTTCTTTGATATTTAGAATCCTCTGACCTAAGTTTTCCCACCTATCAATTTAGACAGCATGCTATGTATTCTGGTTTCTCTGAAATAATTTATGATCTCAGTTCTTAAAATTGTATGTAATATGGTTTGGCTGTATCCCCACCCAAATCTCATCTTGAAATGTAGTTATTATCCCTACATGTCGTTGCGGGGACCTGGTGGGAGGCAACTGAATCGTGGGGGCAGTTACCTCCATGATGTTCTCATGATAGTGAGTGAGTTCTCGTGAGATATGATGGTTTTATAAGGGGCTCTTACCCCACCTTCATTCTGCACGTTTTCCTGCCACCATGTGAAAAAGGATGTGTTTGCTTCCTCTTCTGACATGATTGTAAGTTTCCTGAGGCCTCGCAGCCAGCTAAACTGTGACTCATTTAAACCTCCTTCCTTTATAAATTACCCAGTCTTGGGTATGTCTTTATTAGCAGCATGAGGAATACAGTATGGATTAAATAAGCAACCATCAGACAAACATCAGGTGCACAGAAATGACTTTGGTCCTTAACCAACACAAGAAGTAAGTATTCTCTATTGGTCTTTGCATTTCCCATTTATTTCTCCTTTTTCTGCCCTTGAAATGTTTCTTACTCATGTCTTGTTGAAAATGTCAAAGTATAGCCATTTAGGGTAAGTATGGAATTCAGACAAGGAGCTCTGAGGAATATGATGCTGGTTCTGGTTTATACAAAAGACTTGGAAGCCCTTATATTTGCAGTAGGCCACTGAGGCATGGATCTCCTCATCCTGAATCCCTAGCATCTTTCAGTGATTTGAATATGGTTCTGACTGGCTAGCACTATATTAGTGAATCTCTGAAGAATGGGGCTCAAGAGAATTGATGTGCAGGGGTAGGTACAACACTGAAAATTGTCTACCACTTTTCTGGGGACTCATAGAAAATAAAACTATCCATTTATTCATCTTAGAAAATTAAGTATTATTTAACAAATGGCTGGGATGGGCCACTTCTGTCCTAAACACATGGAATATATACTTTATTATCATTACTTTTTAGTGTTTATTAGGTGCCAGGCACTGTTTTGAGTCCTTCATATTTAATAAATACTAAATAAAATAAAATTCCCATGCCAAAGGAATAATTATTTCCCTCTCTATCCTGCCCATGAATTTTCCCATCCAGGGGCTTTGAGATTGAGAAAATAGCTGGGTTTTCTCATTATTCTAGTTGAAAAAAGAGCAGAATTTATTTGGGCTCTCCAACTCTACAGTCACTCTTATCACTGGTTGGTCTATTTTATGCACAGTAATGTGTCACTTAACAACGGGGATGGAGAAATATGTCTTTAGAAGATTTCATCATTGTGTGAACATCAGAGTGTACTTATGCAAACCTAGACAGTACTTATGCAAACCTAGCCTATACCTAGGCTATATGGTATAGCCTATTGCTCCTAGGCTACAAACCTGCAGAGCATGTTACTGTACTGAATACAGCAGGCAATTGTATTAGGCAATACATTATGCAATTAACACAGTGGTAAATGTTTGTGAATCTAAACATATTTAAACATAGAAAATATATGGTAAAAATATGGTATTATAATCTTATGGGACCACCGTCATATATGGGGTCTATTCTTTACCAAAGCATCACTATGTGACATGTGACTGTATTTAATCTATTTCATTTTATTAAGTTTTAAACTTTTCCAAGTGAGCTATGTAGAAGCATCAAGGCAAAGACAGCACCATGGCAAAATCCTGAGATACCTGGAAGTTTGCCTTTTATTAGTCACAGCTCACATGCCACCTACATGGGGCCATTAGGAGATGAATATAACAAGCCAGAATGACACATCACATACATGCCTGGAGGCAGATATTTCCAAGAACACTTTTCTGCTCTCTTAAAAAAAAAACTGAATGAAGAAGAAAATAATTCTGTTCTGATTATTTATTTATTTTGCAAAAAATGTGTTAACATGGAATATTAACACACAACTCAAAAACTAGTCAAATGCAAAGTGGTTCAGAAAGGGTTTGCTCTGGTCTTTATCACCCTTTTTGCTGCAGAGCTTATCTTTTCTGAAAATTCGTGTTTAAAAAAATGAACAACCACAACAGAATGAGAGATGAGGATCTGGGAGCAGGGCATGAAGCTGGTGAGATGTGAATAAGAAATGTTGAACAACTCAGCAGGACCATTATCTATTTGTTTATTAAGTTTTCCAGTAGAGTAGATTGATCTGAAAATAACAGAACATTTATGAAGCATGAAGCGTTTCCTAAGCTTTCAATTAAAGTTAAATAAAACAAAATGTAGGATGTGTGTCCATTGTGGGAAATCTCATTAGGGCACTGGGCACCACAGTCAGGCGTGGCTTCCTTACCCTGTGCTGCTCCTTAGTTCAGTGTGCACCAGCTCAGATCACGCATCAAGTGTAAGCAATACAGCTCTTTGGGAACATGGGGTTGTAACATATCACTGTGATCTTTTAAGACAAAGGGCACCTTTGTGATCCCCACTTTGCATATGAATAAAATGAAGTACATCAACTAATTTTCCATAGGACCCATTGCAAACATCAGGAATAGGACATAAAGCTCAGAAAACAATGTTAATACTCTAAATAATTTGGTAACTCTGTGCTTGTATTTCTGTAGTTTTTTTTTTTTTCTTGCCTGGGGCATGAATTCAGAGAGGTTAGAAGAGAAAAGAACAGAGCTTTAAATGAGGAAGAAAGGGCAGAGCAAGTGAGAGAATGGAACAGACCAATGATGCATGTTCTGATAGCTCAATGCCAGGAAGCATTGAGCAGAGTGTGATGGGGTGTGGGAGAGGGAGCTGGCATGGGAGCCACACCCCTCCTCTTAAGATCCAGACAAAGGGAGAGTCACACAGTCTGTTAAACTCTGAGGTCTAAGAACAGTTAAATAAATGAGACCAAATTTAAGTAGCCTGCAAGACATCAAGAAAGACAACAACAGCGGCCAAAGCCAGCCTTATGATGGCTTTCTGTTCTTAGTTGTAAAGAATTTGTGTATATGTTTTAATTACAAAAATCTCAGTAAGATATAAAACAGGACTACTCAATTTTGGTGTCTGTTCATCAGCATCTGTTTTAAGAACGCATCTACTTGTCCGAGTTCTTTGAAAACATGAACTGCGTTGGAATCATTTGTAGGCCAAATTCCTCTTACACTTGGAGAAATACCAATTGTGGACAGTTTTCTCCGCTCTCTGAAAGGCCACTGGAACCCTACAGCCAATGGAAAAAAATTACATATGAAGAATGCATATTTATAACCTGAAATGGCTCCAAAAGAAAGACAGGGCCTGGTACAGAATAAAGCCTCATGTTTCCCATTTTTTTCCAATTTTTCCTAGTGTTAGGGAAAGATTTCACCTGTCATCTAAAGAAGGCATGAGCTCAAGAGTGGAATTTTAAAAATAATAAACACTTTACCCACGAGGTGAAAATAGAACTCTTCTTCTTCCTGAACTTCACTCTTCTCAACTTGTCTGTGTACCACGTTGGAACAGTGCAGAGTTAGAAGTCAATTAACAGTGAAGGCCAGTATTTCAGTTTTAGCTCAGCCAGTGAGTCATTTTGTGACCTTAGGCAAGTCATTCAGCTTGGATTAGGACTCAGTGATTTATAAGGATCCTCCAGTTTACAGAAGACCATGTTTTAGAAGAAAGCAGCTCTAGTATATGATCTACACTCTACTACTTAGTAGTAATTGAACTGGCAAGTGGCTCAGTCACTCTCTGCCTCAATTTCCTCAACTGAAAAAGTATGTAACCCTCATGGAGTTTGTGAAGATTAAATGAGATAAGGTTTCTGAAGAGCTTAAAATGGCACCTGGCATTTAATAAGCACGCAATGGCTTTTTGCTCTTATTGTTACAATGATGCTTCATCATCTCCCATAGTAGTAATTTCCTGTGTGCCTGGTAGGTGTCTTTAGCCAGCCACTTTACTAACAGACTGATTGGATAAGTAATGATTTGGAACAATCAGCACTGGAGGCAGGTTTGGGAAGGAGAGTCTGGCTGATTGCTGTTGTGTTGTTTTTCTTTCTTTTATGACCCGTAACCAGTACTTACTGGAGCAATATATATTCACAAATTGTAGTCCCAGAGAGTTGGAAGGAAAGTTGCTATTTAAAGGCTGCTCACAATGTCTTGATTGGCATTTTGTGGTTACTACACAGAAATGAACTGTTGGAGAAGGATTGATTTACCTAGTATGGTTGGTTTTGCTGTCTCCAAACTATGCCAGGTTATACTAGGGATAGATCAAACAAAATTAATAAATATGTAGATAAATGAAAAGGTAAAATGTTTTAAAGTGCTTAAGGTTTAGTCAGGTATACGAAATGCATTCACAATTGAAATAATGATGTTTTACTAAAAAATAGGTATCTTTACTTGTGATATTATTGAGTTTATCATATTCTAATTACATTGGCTTATATATGAACCAATATGATATTATTGAGCCAATCATATATTTGAGGAAATATTCTAGGTAGGGAAGTTTCAGTGAAGTATGAATTTTGTCATGGAGTCTTCTTGCTTAATATGGATTGTGTGAAAGTACTTAAATAAAGCTTAGAAGTTACATAGTAGATAGAGGGGATGGAGAATTATAAAAGAATAGAAATTAATTTTTTAAAAAATTAGAGGCAGAGTTTGCAGCACCTAGAGAGGGTGCTATGGAGATGGTCTTTACTGGGTAACAGGTAGGAAGGCATAACATCTGTTAGGTAAGGAGGAACTCATGAGTTGCACATTTCATAGTTTCTGTTTTAATCAAGAAATTATTGGTGAGACATTATAGAGTTTTGCACACGGAAGGAATGTCACGAAATAAGTGAAGTCTCTGATTGAACCATCTGAAATTGCCAATATTTGATCTTTTCTATCTTTAAAAATGGCAGTTTCATGTGTCTTGATCTAAAATCTTAAAATCAATCTTTCAATTGGATAAGAGGCAGGGAAATTAGCTTGGAAGGTAAATCTATTATCCAGAGGCAAAATTTCATGGGCTTTGATAAAGGTGGATATTTTTCGATAAGGAGGAAAGAGTAAATTTTACTAACATACTTTGGCTTTTGTTCAGTTTTCTTAACCTCTATTTTCGCTTTATTATTTATTTTTTTGTTTTACTCTTGGGAAAGCAAATTATTTGTTTTCTCACATCTTTTGGGGTCCAATTTTGATGATTCTGATCTTTTTTAGTTGCTTGACCTGTAGACCCTCTACAGAACATTGCAGGGCCTCTTCTCAGAGGAGCAGCGGTGATGAGCTTAGTTTCCTAGGCTGGGACTGTTGCGCTGGACTTGACAGGTGAACTGAAAATTGCAGGGATAAGTACACCTATTGAGAACAAACATCCCATCTCTTTATCAAAGCTCTTCATTGGCTTTGGAAAACTGCTGTAGGCCTAAGGAAACTAAACTTTCTAGGGATATTCTAGGTTTTAAACATATGAGAAAGAGAAAGACGTCGGTTCTTATTTAAGAGAGTTTATGAGACCTTATCCTTGAAATAGTCAAATTTATAAATGACATAAGGCTGTATGTGTAGTTAATAAAACAGGAATTCATAGCCACTCAAATGTTCTAAACTTTCAAAAATGATTTGGGGTTCTGTTTTGGGATTAAGGAACACTGAACTTTGAACCATTTCAACCCACTTCTAATTCTGAGGTCTAGAGATACAATATGTAGCATGGCAGAGTTACGGCATCAGCTGATGAATATCCATTGAAGTGAAATGATTATAAAGTTACACCAAAAAATAACACCATCCATGCTTGCAGAGTTGGGATGACAGAATACTTATGAGGTATTTGCTTTTTAGTTATATATTGCATTATAGGCTAAAGATTTGGGTCTATTTGCTGAAAGTCACTAATCTAATAATATTTTCATTATTAAAAGTGGAGGCAATATTAGGGGATCCTTGAAAATTTAGCATGAGGCTGGAAAACAATACCCCCCGGCCCCAGACCCATCTTTCAAGCTTGTAGTAACCAGCAAAATCTGCTGTGATTCCTGTCTTTGCCATCTATTCAGGTTTCATTTTGTTGCTCAAGGTTCACTGTACGTTTGGAGAAGGAGTGGGGCAAAAATAAATAGGGTGAGGATACGGCATAAATTAGATACCTAACATGTATCTCTGGCTCTCCTCTTCACACTTTAGAACCACGGTCACAGAAGGTGAGAGTCCGCATGAGCTCTTCTCTCCTTTGGCCTAACTGACTTTCTTTCTTCTCATGGAAAATATGGATTTCCTGCATTTGTTCTGGTGAGTAACTCGAAGGCAACATAGCCCGGGATGTTGGGCACCAGAACAAATATCCTGGATAATCTACCTGCTAAACACATAGGTGAAAAACAAAAGCATCTTATTTTGTGTGTGTGCACATGTATTGATGTTTCCTCTTTATCTGCTCATGGTAACAGGTTTCCTCCTCTTCTGTTTTCCCTTTCCCCTTTCCTCCTTCCTCTTAATTTATAGAAAAGAGTGGGGGTGGGGGTTAATGAAAAATGGAGAGACTTCTTTTTGTCTGATAACATAGGATCATTCATTAGTCAGATCTATGGGCTTCCTGACCTAAAGTGAGCTCCAAAGCTCTGCCTGGCCCTGATGATGTGTTTGGGAGAATATGTGCCAAGCTCTCTTTTCTTGCTGACACTTTAAACTCTGAGTGGTCCTTCAGAAGCTGAGTGAAATGAACTTAAACCAAGGCCTGGAGTTTGGGATCATGGGTAGTTGCATTCATGCCTGAAGTGTGAACAACAATACAATTATACTTTTCACTTTGCATTTCTCTGACACATCTTAGCGTCAGACTATTGTTTGCTAAATGAGTCATGTTTATTAGTTTTGTTTCATCCGTATGACTGTAAGCTCCCAGAAGTCAGAGCCCCACCAGACATTTTGTTGTATCCTTCATAGCAGGCTGCACAGAGGTTAAATAAACATTGACATTTCACAAAAGTGGAACAACAGAAAAAGAAAGAAAAAATATGAAAGATACAAGAAATTGTAGGCCAAGGAGAGTGTGAGACATAAAACAAAAAAAGGCAATCTTGGGAAAGGTACCAGGAAAGAAGAAAGACATGACAGTCATTGGGGTTGAGGGTCCCTATAGAAAATCATTTAGTGAAAGATGTCTTCCTTTAGTTCTTCTTCCTTTTTATTCCCTATCCACATCCTTGTTGTCCTCCCTTTCTCAGTTTCTCTGTGTGTAGCCCCAAAAGAAAGCTTAACCATGGACAGCAGCTCAACAGGCCAGGCACACTGCAAGTTAGGTGTCACCTGGACAGGCTAGGCTTGCTAACAGCCAACAGGGATGGGGTTTGAAGTCCTGAGGGAGACTGGAGAGCAGCTGTGCAGTACTCAAAACCCAAACTCAGGTCATGGCCACTGATCCTACCCAGACCTCTCTCTCTTGAGTTATCCATTCTAATTTCTTGTCCTTCTCTGAAGCCCCTTGAGGTTGGTGAAGAGTGAAGGAATGCATCCTGAGTTATTAAAGACACTCCTAAGAAGCTCATTAAGTCCTTTTCTCCTTAACTCCAAGAAAAGATCCCATTTTCCTTCCAACACTTTAAAACCATTATTCATTGGATGGAAACATCCTTCCTCCCCTCAACCCTTTTCAAAGGGAATCATCCAGCCCAGGACTATGAAGTATCCCTATGTGTGGCAGTTAGATTTGGTGACAAAAAGGGCTCTAGTCTCTCCTTGTTACAAAGAACAAAGATAAAATTATGCAGTTCAGGCCATAAATAGTGAGGCTGAACCGAGGCCATCAGTTCTCAAGAGAGAGGATTCAGACCAATTTGTTTTCCCCTCTCCTTTCCTTTGAATCCCACTTTCTGTCTTCATTCCCCTGTCATCTGAGTGCTATTTGGCCCCTTTACTTTATTTTAGTGTGTCTTCTCTTTTCTTTGTTTTTTTCAAACTCACTCTTGACCATTCTTCGTTCTATTTTATTGCAGTCCCGTTTCTTTCCCTCTTTCTCTGTCTCTCCCTCATTTACTTCTCCTGAGATTTACGCAGCTTGACTTCATGAGCTCACTGTCACATCAAGGGAAAACAGAAAGGAGGAGCCATGGCTGGAGGGAGGAGGCTTATCTTACCTTGTAACTGTGTTAACCCATTGTGTGGGGGTGGGATGAGTACTGGTTTTTTCTTACTCTTGAGTAGTGCTCTAATAGCTCCATTACCTCTGCAAGCACAAAGATGCTGTTCGCTTTTAAAGCAGCAGGGCCTGGCTAAAAGCCTGCCATAACCAATAAAAGCCTCAGCTGTGCTGGCCCTCTCCAAATCTCCTCACACCCCAGGCTTGTAAGCTGCCTGAAACAGAAGTTAATAGTATTCATTGGAATAAGACATCTCCAATGGACTTCTTCCAGTCTATTTGGATTGCGGTGCCCTGCCAATGACAAGGAGTGGTGAAGAGATATCAGGGTTCCCCTGCCTCATGTAGAGTGCATTCTCATGAAAGAGATTTTGGCTGGAGAAGTTAAGTAAGGCAGTCTTTCTATTGTAAGAGTCACATTTACTTCATAGTATTATTTTGAATTCTGCAATAGTTGAGAAGAGAGAAAAGATGCATTGCTCTTGCTTTTCTGAAAAAAAGACATATTGACCACTCAGATCCCTCCAAACATGTTAATTCCATTTTCCATTCTCCTGCTCCCCCTGTGTCTGTCACTGATGTTCTGTCTGCCCTTTTGGTCTTGTTCCTTCTTTTCCTTCCTTTTCTTTTCCATTCTTCTCTTTTTTTTTTCTTTTTTCCTCTCTCTCTCTCCTAATTCCATCTTAACTCAAGGTTCTGAAATTGTTATTTTATCTAACTGTGAAAGGGCGTAAATGGATGAGCTAAAGTTACTCCAATCCTTAACCATTTCATGCCAAACCTGTTGTCACACTCTTTATTGGTACAGAACGGGTCATTTCCTACAAATTTGACGGGACCATCTGCTCCTCGGGATGCTGCTAGGTGGTTTTCAGTGGCATGAGGAAAGTCTTAGAAAATATACTGTAAGGAGCTACACTGATTGACCAAAGCAGTTGTGAAAAATCCTTTAGTTTCTAGAAAGGTGGGACTGGCTTGGAGTTATGGATGGACAGCGAATTGTTGGCAGCAATCAGGGGAAGCAATGAAGAGATATGGGGTAGAAGACTGTTAAGAAATAAATTACTCTGGAGAAAGGACCAGGGAAAATGGATGAGGAGGAGAGTGGAGAGAAGAACAGCTGAATCCTAAACAAGGGCAGGCCTGGAGTTGTCTCGATGGTGTCCTCTGACCTGACACGGTATGCTTCTTGCCACTTTGTGCTGTGTGCTGGGCAGCCGCTCTTCACCAGGCTATCTGGGTATTCTCTCTCACACACAATTTCCCATAAACAAATCCCCTGTTGCCGTGAATAATGCCACCATTTTGCTTGAGAAATTATCTGAAGTGTTTTTCATTGACTTTCTTTGCTTAAATCTAGAGGATGGCCCATTCTAATCAGAGTGTGTATCTCCCTCAAATTTATTAGCAAGTCTCCCATTTAATCCCTGATTTACGCTTTATTCATATCCCAGTGGTAATGCTGAGATTGTGCTGACATCAGCTTTCCCTGCCAAGGACACATGAACCACGCTCTGGAAAATACACATGCTTAACAGATGCTATGAAAATGAAGTTTCCATCATATTTCCACAGAACTCTAGGCCTTCACCACCTGACCAAACCTCATGCCCCAACAACCTCTATGTCTCCCTCATTCTCTCTCTTTCCAGGGCATGGGTTTCTCCATGAATGGTCTTCTCACAGATCTTTCATCTTTCATCATTACCTCTTTTCTCATCCTTAGTATCTTCCCCATTCTCTTTGACCAGAAGCAAAGGCAGAAAGTGGGAATTGACTCAAGTCTCCCAGAGGGCAGATAGCAATGCCATACTGGATACAGGATGAGAGTGGGAGCCTCACTGAGTCCGTTATGATTCATGAGTGGAGAGTGAGGATATTAGTTCTGGAGCTGGGGGTTTCTCATTAGCACGGAGGGCAGACCATAGAGAAGAAGAAAATGAAGCAAAATCTCCTTTTTTTGTGAGATTTTTTACTCAGCTCTAGCCAAGGGTCTGGATCCTGAGCATTTCTCTTCCTTCCCACTTTTCTTCCTTAAATCCTTATTTTCTGCTTCCATTTTCTCTCAGTATTCATTTTACTCAGCAAAAAGGTGAATCTAAACCATAAGACCTAAAGACTCAAATGGGTGCTTTTCATGGTTACTCTGTTTTTTCTCTGAATAAAATATCACATGATTGTACACTTTGTACAGACTGATTGAATTGTTCTAAGTAAATACACAAAACCAAAATCAATAAAGGTTTAGAGTTAATTCTGTATCTGGAAGTAGGTGAAGAGAGTTTTACACTAGTTGGATTCCAAAGTTGCAGATATTGAAAACAGAAACAATAACAACAGAAGGATAATTATACATTATGATTGTGAGGAAGCTAGAAACCAGTGCAAAAGAATATTTTCGCACTAAAAATATTTTAGTTTTTCTTGAGTGCAGAGAAAACAAAGAAATATTCTGTTGCACTACATTTTTTTTGCACTGACTTGATCTCTAGCTCTGTTTGTTTAGACAATGTGATTCTGAGGACAAATACAGGAATTTAGAATTGAGATTTTAGTTCAAATCTTGATTCTGCCATTTAGTAAGCAGATTATTTTATATAGGCAGATAAGTACCTCTTAGAATTTGCTTTTCCATTTGTAAAATAAAGATGGTCATAGCATACTTATAGGGATGTTATTATGGTAATTTAAGAAATATTTCCTAATTATGGCAATTTAAGATTTATTATGGTCTTTTGTATTTCCTACTAATATATTTACAATGGAACATCAGCTAAGTGAGATATATATTGAATGACTTTATGAATATTGTGTATTAACTTATAACTGGAGAAGCTTCTTTTTTTTTCTTTTTTCTCCATATGGTTTTGCTGTTTGAATTTATTATTGTTATTGGAAGTCCTCTTATATCCAAAGAATTTATTTTAGGCCTTTGTACCAAAAATAAAAAAAAAAGATTTATTTTTTAATGGCAAGAGCCTATTCTGAGATGCTTCCTACTGGAAACTTCCTTAATAATTTTGCTCCTGTAATTTTTCTTTAATGAAAATTGACTCAACCAATAAGAAATTTCATTTGCTCTCAAGATCTGCCTCAGTTTACTTCTATTCTCTGTTCCTTCCTTGCATTGTTGCTCAATGCTACACTTAGAACCAATAAATCAGACATGGTTCATGCCTCAAACACTGACAAAAACTGAGACACATAAAGAAAATTTAGATTTTCTTTGTTGAAATGAGGGCTTGCCAGTTGCCAGATCCTAGTAGAGCACATTTCCTAGTCACTTTCCAGAGAATAGGAGAAAACTCTGGGACAGTTTTTCAGGGCTTCATACATGTTACATTACTGTATAGACTGGGATATTTGAGAACATTACTATGTAATTGCTACATTAGTGTTTATCATTCTGTACCATTAAATAAATTCCCCATTCTTTTTTGAGAGAGAAATGGTTTGGGTCACCACTTAACTTATTTAATATTCAACAAAGATAGTCCACATAGTCTGACTGGGGTTTTATTTTTATGGCAACAATAAACTAGGAAAGAAGCTTCATAAGTTGCTTTTTATTCGCAAACAGTAAAAAGCTGGGTCAGTATATGATCCTACTAATGGGATTGAAACAAGCTAGCCCTCAATTACTGTGCATGTCTAATATTCATTAGCCAAATGTTACTGTGTTCTATTAAGATATGTTAAAACAATTGGATCTGTAAGGGTAAAATAAAACTCCAGGAGTTTAGGGAACACATCTCACTTGAAATATATCAAGCAATCTTTACTATTCTCAAAAAAAAAAAAAGGAGAGAAAACAATAGAACCTGAGATAGGTTATGGAGGGCCTTTCTAAGAGATACTTTCAAAGCTTCAGCAAAACAGAAGCATGACAAAGAAGCGCAGGGGAGTGTTTAAAGGCAAGAGTCAGAAAAGTGGAAACTTCTGAAAATGGTACTAACTTGGTTTTCTACTTGAAAGGGAGTAAGCAGAGAATAAAATAAAATAACAATTAGTGAGAGAAGAAAGAGAAGAAAACAAGAAAGAGAAGGGGGAAGAGGAGGAGAACGGTAAGGAGTTAAGTGAAAAGAGAAGGAAGGGAAGTGAAAAGAGAGGAAATTTAGTGTGGGATGGGATCACAAGAAGAGAATTGGAGCCATGTGGATCAGCAATCCAGCCTTCCACTCTGATCCTTGTTTAGGCTCTTCAAGTCTTAGAGTAGATCCCTCTCCTACTGTTTGCACCATACCCTACCTACTAGAGTTAGAGAAGTGATCAAATGTCAAAAATGTCTTTAAAAATATATTTAAAATATTCTAATTAAGATTTCCAAGTAGCAAAGATTCTTCAGGATCTTTTTGCTATTCATCCTTGGAATGAAGTAGAACTTTCGGAGATCATCTCAAATTTATTTTTTTAACTTTTATTTTAAGTTCAAGGGTACAGGTGCAGGTTTGTTACACAGGTAAACTTGTGTTGTGGAGGTTTGGTGTACAGATTATTTCATCACTGAGATATTAAGCCTAGTGCCAATAAGTTATATTCCCTTATTCTCTCCTTCCTCTTGCCTTCCACCCTCTGATAGGCCCCAGTGTGTATTGTTCCCTTCTATGGGTCCATGTGTTCTCATCATTTAGCTCTCACTTAGAAGTGAGAACATGTGTTATTTGGTTTTCTGTTCCTGCATTGATCATCCCAAATTCTTATTCCAAAAACACAACACTTAGGATGATTTTGTGTTTACAAAATTGCAGGTCATGCATTGGGGCAAATTTCTGTGGCACTTGTTTTTTCTATCACTATTTATTTTGGGTCAAATAATTTTTGCAAACTGTTGTGAGTTGCTGATTAACGCTATGCTTTAAATTTTGACTGCTTATAAAACAACTAAGCTTATTATTATTGATATAACAGAAAGTTAAAATCAAAATAAAATAAAAAGAAAATCAGTATGAAAACCCACTTATGGAAGAAATGTGCTCCAGGATAATATTAAGGCTTTACTTTGAGTCAATCATGAAGGCAGGAATGAAGGAAGAAGATTAGGGGAGGCTTGATGTCGCAGCTGTAGAGCTGGCTTTCTCCCGCACTTGCAGAGGTTTTCTATTTAATTGACAAGAAAAGATGCAAAGTAAAACACATACTGGGGTAGGAAAGGAGGTACCATAATGCCTTTAACATTTACGGTTCTCAGAGGTCTTAATCTGATCCTGACCACACAATCGGTATAAATTAACCCAAATATTACCCTTTCAAAACCTATGAAAAGAATTTACAATTTCATCATATATATCATAGGTCCCCATTATAGTGCTAATTTAGTCAGAATAATGTCATCCACATTATAATGACAAAAACACACCATATATTAAGATGCATGTGTGGAATATAATGTGACCTGCCTGAAAACTAAAACCTTGATACAGCAAAGTAGTTTGTGAATTTCAAGTAGATCCACCATTCATAGTCTAAATTGTTCTTTCAAATACAGTGATATTAGAAAATTGTTAGTTTATTTCTTTTCTAAGAATAGAGATGATGCTAATCTGATGCTCTGCTATCATTTTGTAGAGTTAAGCACATCGGCCCGTTTCCGAATACCTTTTCTTCTCACACAAGGTTTGAATAGTCAGCCATTAGAGAGAAATATACCTGCAAGTCAACTCTTCAATTCAATGTATTTAGGATCAATAGGCATCTGTCCTTTCACATATCAAATCGTTAACATGTTTTTATATATGCTGTCTCAATTATCAAGATATACTTATACAACTTTATACAACTCTTTTTTTTTTTTTTTAACAGAGTTTTGCTCTTGTCACCCAGGCTGGAGTGCAATGGCGTGATCTTGGCTCACTGCAACCTCTGCCTCCTGGGATCAAGTGATTCTCCTGCTTCCGCCTCCTGAAGTAGCTGAGATTACAGGAACCCACCACCACACCCACCTAATTTTTTCATATTTTTAGTTGAGACGGGGTTTCAAGGATAAAATTAATTCTCTTTGGAAGCAATCATGGAAAAGAAAAAAATGCTTATATGCAAAAGACACTTACACTTTCTTCCTGCCTACTCCGTATTTCTAAAGACTGAGGTTTAGCCAGTTAACTAAAGTTACCACTGAATCATCTTTTAAAAATTGAAGACTTGAGGTTGTTAAAACTGGCTTTACTTTGAACTTCACACACTGTCTGTTGAATTTTGGAAGGGCAAGAGCATAGTTATTGAAGGAACTTGGAGAGTTTCTGCTAATTAAGACCTGTTCACTTGAACCAAGCAAATGGCTACACATCTTATAAGAATAAATGGTCTTCCTGATCCTACCTGTCTTTCTATGCATTAGTTAAGGTGAGTAGATGACGTTTGACTGGCAGCTTATTCTGGGACTATTTTATGCTCCACAAGGAAAAGACACTAAAAATAGAGAAGATAAAATATTTAAATTATTTTGCTTGCTCCAGTCTTTTCAGCTCCTTTTTTCATGTAGAAATATATAATATCTTTAAGATATGTAAAAGTTTTGAATTGATGACCTCATTTTTTCATAACTATTTTTAATAGATTCCTAAATCAACTACTGTTTAAACAATTATATGTCACATTTTTAAATAATAGGTTTATACATAATGTTTTCATGTAATTTGAATATTTATTCACTAAAAACTTTAATTTTTATTAAACGCAGCAGACACTTGCACAATATACATATACATAAGTGCTTTGACATCTACCACTGAGTTACTGAAATATCCTTTTCAAAACCTGTCTTACCACAATCAACCAAGTCTTTCAACATTGCACAGAGAAAATAAATATCTCAAACTGTCTCTTCAAGTGCTCTTAAAGCTAAGAAACTTAGATAGGATTAGTATCAAAGAATGAAACAATATATTAAAAATCTGAAAACTGCATTACAGAAGAGTAATCTTTCCATTCAGATAACAAATTATATCAATGCATATGCGCTATAGTTTAGTACAGACACACACACACACACACACACACATATACCCCACAGTTCATCCAGGGAACATATTAAAACTATAGTAAAGCACCCTAAAGACCCTAAAGAGGTGTTTGGGAACATATTGCACATGATAACTCATTCCCTGTAGGCAGATGAACTTCTAGACTTGGCGCAAGTAAGAGATGAGGGTGCAGCAGGTCAAGAGAGACCAGGGATAAAGGGAGCAGTCAGCAGGTTTTAGTGCTCTTGCAGCCTCAAACTCATGGAACCCTGTTGGTGAACAGAGGAGAGTGACCTGGAGCTTGGATAAAAATGACAACATTTTCAGTAAAGCTACTAAGTTGTAATATCTGGTCTTCAAATCTATGCTTGCATAATGCAAGACTAACAACGAATCTCTAGGATGCTTTCTCTACAGACACATTTCAAGGCTAAGACTCAGAAGATAAATGTCAACCCCGAAGGAAATTACTTGAGAGAATTCTAAGAGGCTGAAGAGAAGCTATCAACACTCTGGTGACAATGGTGCTATGAATAAGAGAGTGGATTCCTTTGTTTTCAGGCCTCAATCTTTTCCTGACTATGGTTAGTAAAGGGGTAAGGTTGTTTTTTCCTGATAAGTGGCTTTTTTCATTTTGCCTGCACTAAAAGCAAGATATATCATGTCTGACCTTTATCCCATTGAATTGACTGCCTCCTCCACATATCCAAAGCTGAATTCATGATCTTGCTTCCCAAATTTGGATCTTCACAAATATTCTTTCTTACAGGGAAAGGAAGCTCCATCCACAAAGTTCAAGCTAGAAATCTGGGAATTGACCTTACAACTTCTCTTTTCCCAACACCCCATAACCAGCTTATTATTAAATCTGGCCAATTTTACTTTTATTTATTTATTTATTTATTTATTTATTTTTGAGACAGGTCTTGCTATGTTGCCCAGGCTGGTTTCAAACTACTTGCCTCAAGCGGTCCTCTCACCTCAGCTTCCCAAAGCGCTGGGATTACAGGCATGAACCACCAGGACTGGCTAATTTTTTATTTTTTATTTTATTTTTATTTTTTTGATACACAACATCAAGCATGCTGTTGATGAGAGGTAAGGGTTAATTTTTCCAAAAAAGATTCCCCAGGGTCTTCTGAAAAGCTTCCTGAAAGTGGGCTAAGACCTTGAGTTTAAAGCCCTAAACTTAAAGTACTCCATTCTGACCAACTACACTCACAAGGCTTGATTTCCAGGCCCTTCTCATTCCAAAAGAGGGGCCTATGCTTCCCCAAACAGGAACATTTTAAAGTGGAGAATTCTACTGCTTCCTTGTGACATCATATATTTGTGAACCTCAGTGCCAAATGACAGGAGAGGTTGGTCCTACCTACAACCATAAAATGCTGACTAGGACTGAGGCCCAGTTTCTGCCTCATAATATTACTATTGTTTTCCTGCTCCTGCTTACACAGTGCTTCTGTAATCATGCAGCTTCAAAGCCCCGCAGATCAAGGGTAGGGGCTTCTCCTGAAGTCTGGTATCTGGCCTAGATAAATCTCTGTCGGCTGTTCTAGAATACAAATGCACCTGCTCCTGATATTGTCTCCATTAGTTAAACTTGGGGTTAAACTTTAACCTTAAAAATGCTGTTCCAGCAGGTTTGGTGTCCTTGTTCACATTACAGCTAGCAGCTTAAAACTCTTCAGTGGCACCACATCACTCTTAAGATAAGCACCAAGATACTTACTATGGCCTACAAGGCCCACCATGACCTGGCTCCAGCCTCTTGTTGCAGGCTCACTTTGCACCACGTTCACTGTGTTTCAACTGGCCTTTTAGTTTTCAGAAATGCAATTCTTTCTGCCTCAAAGCTTTCAAACTGTTGTTCCCTATGTTGGAACATTCTCTCCCACTTAGCCTTCTGATCTAAGACCAGAAGTCACTTTCTCAAATAAGTCCTCCCAGATTTTCCAGATTAGTGTGGCTGTCCTGTTATATACCTTACATCGTTTGGCAACAAAATTTAAAAAAATAAAAGCCCAAACCAAACAAACTTAAACAGGATTCTTTTAAAATTTGTCCTTTATAGCTCTTATTTCTAATTTGAAATTGAATCCTGAAGGGAAAGATTCATGATGGGAAAGACTCATGATATTAACTAATAGTTGCAGAAAAATTTGTTTATAGCAATATAAGAGTTCTTAATATACATATTCACTCCAAAAAAAGACCACTTTGCTTTAAGTCAGTTCTTGCTCCTCTCAGTACACTGTTACACTCACTTCCCATAACATTTTCTCCTTCACAACACTTACCATAGGTTAAAATCATACATGATAATTTTAAAAATTTTAAAAAATGTAAAAGAATAGTATCTACAATTTAATCCCTCAATCATCTATTTAGCTTTTTTGCATTTAATAAAATGCAATTTCTTAGTCACAAAAATATTTGTTAGTTCTTCACTGGCAACATGAGGCAAGAAAAAAAATGGAAGGAACACGCGGATAGGACTGTGGACCCAGGTGACAAACGTGAGACAGAAGGTATGCTACAGAGTCAAAAGAGAGCATGGAAGAGCATAAATTCTTGTTCGGTCATTACGGGGGAAGATAGCAGGCTGAGATATTAAATGATTTTTGTTTGCCCATTTTTAAAGAAAATGTTAAGGAGATTCTCATTTGCTAAATGTCTTTGTAAACAGACAAGAGAAACAGATGAGAACTATTAGATCAAATCGTGGTTATTGTACAAGATGTTCTATACCTAATAGATAAACAAGACGTGGAAGAATTACCGGGACCAGATGGCAGCTCTTATGTCCTGTCATATGTAACATTTTCCTCTTCAAAATAGAGATGAAGCACAAAAATGTGTCTGAGTTTAGTTTAATTGCAAGTAGCTGGGGAAAGAATACATAAGTCAATTTCTAAGGCTGCCATTTTGTACCACTATTGCATTTGGAAATAAAGACCCAATAGAAATGTCACCTCATATCAAAATCTTCTATAACTTTCATAACCACAAAATTCAGTCCAAAAACAAAATAAAGTATTTCCACACGGAACCGATACTTAATCATATAATAATCAAAATAAAGTAAGCATTTGCAGTACATTTGCAATTAAATATAATGCCAATTTACAATATAAACACAGAGTAAATTTGTACTTTTTCCTTCATTTTTAATATGAGATTATTCAATTCTAGTTCTGATATTTCCAGCCAGAAGGGATCTAGACAGCTTGTTGAGTGAGTCATTCCAAACATTCTGAGAAACAGCCTGAGATTCATTTGCTCTTTGCTTATGGGGATATATTAATGAATCTTCAATCCTGCTCTCACCGTCCCCAATGGCCATAATGCATTTGTAGAAAAATCAGGTTTACATAGCAGAAAGTCTTCTGTCAATAGTATTAAACCTGCTGTTATTTATCTTCCTAGTCTTGAAATATTGAAGGGAGGGACAAAGAAGAAAAAAAGTAAAGAAGGTTACACTTGATTAACAATAAAATATAGGATTATCTTTCAGTTTTCTTTGTTTTTGTTTTCTTTGTAGTTGTTATTCACAATTGTGAAGTTGAATCCTAATGAGGAAGGCCATGATATTAGCCAACTGTTCTGGAAAGATGTGGTTATGCTAATTGAAGTAATTTGGACATGCATATTCACTCTTAAAAAATGGCAACTCTCTGTTTTCCTTAACTTAATTATGTCTTCTCTTAAGAGATTGTATGCTGCCTTTTTGCTTTGGTATGGCTGGATATTCTGAATCATTTCTTAATATTAAGATTATTATCTGAAATAACACTAGACAGCAGATGTCTTGATTGAAACATACAAACAAAAGATTGGGAGGCAGCCAGAAGCAGGACTTCTAAAGCAGATCATACTTTGTCCAATGCTTAATCAAAAATAGCTACTGTTTTTATTTGGCCTGTGAGTGATTTTATGATTTACTAGGGTTTGCATTGTGAAACAGTAAAGACTGTAAGATGAAAATTTGAGGGAGAAGAGCAGAAATAGTGGGTAAGCCTGGGAGGGTGAAAACTCAAGAACAAGACTGGGAGAGTGCAGGAGAAGCTCTTACATTGTATCCTATCATATTGTTCTGTGAATTGTGTCCCCGCAGTTGTGCAATGCAGAAACTACAGACAAGGGGATTTCCCTTGGGGTCTTCACCATTCTATTTATCAAGAGCCAAGGAGAGCAAACGGATGTGGTGGTGAGGAGTCCAGAGACTGTTGCATCTTTTTTTCTCTTTTGTCTTTGACTTGATGAAAGAACATGCTGAACTAGGGGTACACATATGGTGTGATCTAAGAGAAACAGGGAGGAAAATACAATCTAAAAATCAATATAGTCCCACCCTATCCAGATCACTCTTAGTTTAATTCCTAAACACTTTCCTTGGTAGGGGCATTTATTCTAATTACAATTAAATGATGTTATGATGTTAAGAGAAACTTTCTTTTGGTAAATTGAAAGCCCCACTGCTTAATGTCTATTTTGGGGAGGTTAAAGTGATAGCGCTGGGATGGGAGACAAATAATGGAAAGACATACAAACACTACATGTATCCACTTCACCTTGTGACTACGGACAAGCTTCTGAAGGCACAATGATCATACTACGTTCATTCAGTTTTATTTCTGCAAGTTCCCTTCTGTCTCTTCTATTTTATTCTCTCTGCCATTGCAAGATTTTTTTCTGTCCTTTTTAAAACAAAACAAAACACAACAGGCTGTGTCTCAATCTGTTGCCTGGGCTAGTGTGTAGTGACATGATCATAGCTCACTGCAGCCTTGACCTCCCAGGCTTAAGTGGTCTTCTCGTCTCAGCCTCCTGAGGAGCTGGGATTATAGGTGTGAGCCACTGTGCCAGGCCATGATGTCCTTTTTGAATTGTGGCAAAATTTTCTCCCTTTTCCGGTCCTCAAATCTTCTTCCACAGTGCTACCTTTGTTATTGTCCTAAAAGGAAGGTTCGATAGTTACTGCCACCATCAAATACCTCAATGCCTCCATTCTGTTTATGGAAACAAGTGCTAATTACCTCACTATTCAGTCAAGACTCCAATGACTTGGTTTCCCTTTAGCATGCCTTTCCCAACAACTCTCCATGAGTGCCATGTTTTAAATACACTGGATCATTTACCATTCTCCAAAATGCACATTGAAAATTCTGTGCCGTGATTGTGTCAATCCTTCATTTTGGAATTCCCTTCTTTTTTCATCAAATAGCCAAAGCATCCCTCTATCCCTCTTCTATCTTTGAAGCCTTCCTCATGCCAACAGCTGGAATTAAATGCTCTTTGCATGCTTCTTGAGAACACCATGACTTACATCTGGGTTGCAGCACTTTTCCATTCTTCATTGTATTGTTGTTTGTCATTGTATGTGAATCTATGTAATTAATTTAAAGTTTCTTGGAATAAGGTTCTTACCTTATTCTTCTCAGTATATCTACAATGTTTTTCATGTAATATTCTCATTGAATAGTAGGTAAAAGACCAGATAATTAGTTAGCAAGAGTAAATTTATATGTAAGTTTATTTCACGAAAACTAAATGTAATTAGACATAAGGATCACATATCTTCATGGAGGTAAAATTTCCTCCGAGTTGGGATCATCAATATTTAATACGGGATAAAAAATTTAAGTTAAATGAAAGTCTTCCTAAGGTGAACATTCAGGCTTTCACTAAAGATGATGGACTTTTAAGGGCTGTGGGAACCTATTCCAGGGTCCATGCTCATGCCACATGAGCAATCTTTTGGGGATGACTGCAGTAAAGGGTGCAGAGATTAAGAACACGGGCTCTGGGGCCTGATCTGAGTTTAAATCCTGCAGTCATGCCTTCCTAGCTTTGTGACATTTGGCACATTGCTCAACCTCTCTCTGGGCACAATACCACTTACTTTGGGAATTATGGTAAAATACTATATGCATCAATTGCTTTCCATAGGGCTTGACACAGAATAAGAGTTGCATTTACTAAATAGTGAGTGATTTTTTTTGTTTTGGTCTGAGAATGATCATGCTAATCTGAGTAAACTTTTAAGGCTTTTAAATCTTGAATGCATCTTCATTTCAAAGAAGTATAATGACTGGAAATGTATGATTTTACTTTATCCTTGGTCAGTTGGACCTAAGTATTTTTAAATAAAACAAATTTATCAACTCTACATGTGGAGGTAGAACAGAAATTCTAGTGTGTAACAAATAATGGATTCAAGTCTGAATAGTTAAGAGACTTAAAAAGAGGAAATACATGAAAACACACATGTGACTATTAAGAATAGACTTTTCAAGTAAAATAACAGGAAGATAATTTGACTTGTTCACTAGTTATGTCAGAGAATAAAACACAGAATTGTACTGATTGGGCTGAGTTGTCAATTTCCTTTCCTTCTGATTCACCCCACAAATTCCATATCAACCATCACTTATTGAGTAACTGCACTGTGTTCAGAGCTTTAGGCACACACAAAAAAGGAGAATATTCCTACCTAAACCCTACCATCTATTAGAAACACATTTTTGAGTAAAAAAAAAAAGCACTTGTTTTTCAATAAAATTATCTTTACTCACAATTCACAATGCTTTAAATAGAAAGCTTCCTCTCCGCAAATATAGGATGAAGCTTTGATACATAAATTCATTTTATATGTTTTGATGAAGAAGCAACTTAATTACACTTTCAAAGAAAAGAACTGCAAACATATGACTGCAATAATTAGGACTCAAATATTATAAGCCATTTAGAAATAATGCCACCTTGCATTTTCAATGACACTTAACTAGTTTACTCATCTACATAATTTTTTACATCAATTTTTACATTTAGTCATCATGACTTCCCTGTAAAGCAAGTACATTTACCCTCTTTTTATTGATGGGTGGGCTGCTGCTTAGAAGTAAAGCCATAATATTTGCCAACAAATCACATTTAGAACAATTATTTAAACAAAAGAGTCAGGACTGAAAACGTGGTCCAGTGCCTGTGAGGAGAATTCCAGATTTTGGAGTCCTACCCCATTGTCTACTGCTTCTAGTTCTGCATCTTAAAACCCAAAATAAAAATAAAGTTTTACCTAGCAGGGGCTGATTATCCAAAGAGTTAGATTAGTAGCTATAATATTTCATATATTCTACTTGTAAGTTTTTCAATAACTCAGAATTTAATATGCTTACTACAACAAGCAAACTGAATATATTTTAAGTTTATGTGACATACAATGCCTTCTATCCCTTGGTTGTATCTCAATATTATCTCAATAGAAGGAATAACAAATCAAGTTGAATCTGTTTTTTGTCAAAGGTTGGATGTTGCTTTTAGTATCTTCCAATATTAGTATATTTATTCCACTCTTGTTTTTTAAACATGGAGTTAAAACATGAAACTAAGAGATTTTTGCCTTCTATGCTAGTTAATAGAAATGTCTAGTTAATAGAATGCTAAGTAAGCCTGGTTTTGCCTTATTTGATTCACAACCATTTTTAGAAATATGGGGGGATAATGATTACCCAAGCAAACTTCCTGGCAATACTGCATTCAAGTTATTCCTACATGACCTCATTTTGCTTCTAACTTAGAAATCAAGAAAAGAAAAGAAATTTAGAGGTTATGTGGTCTACCCTCTTTTTATATTTAAGGAGAGTTATATGCAGAAAGGAAAAGCAATTTATTAAACACCTAAGAACAAGTTATTCCAAATTCTTTTGAACTGTTTGAAGGTTGAGGACGGCCCTTTTATTCCAGCCATGTATTTCCTATGCTGCACATATAATAGGGTTGACAGTGGTAGAGGTCAACAGTACTTTTAAATAGAGGGGTTAGGAAGTTATCTTTCAGTAGGTGGCATCCTCGGATTAAATGCAATACTTCTTATTTGGCAGTGGTTTGACCTTATCAGTGTGTCTACTTTAAATGGTACTTTCCTCACAGATAGTTTCAAAACATCCATAAAGGTCCAAACTTTGCATTGTATATAATTTATAGCCTTTTCATTGATTTATGTTTATGATTATTATCTTATTTAAAGGTTTGAAACTTTCTATTATGAAGTGGCTGGTTTTAATGTATTATGTTAACCACTTGATTTTCTAGCTTACTCCTCTAATTTTTCAATCAAATATATTTTACTATTTATTTCAATCTTCATATATTTGGACAGAAGCACTAAAAGAAAACAAAACTCAAAATGAAATCTCTTTATTCTGATAAAAAATTTGCTTGAAAAGAACAGTAGCCATTGCCAATATGATGCTTATATTTTACTTTCTGTAACTTACACTTACCCAAATTATCTCCATTCATTTTGCAATATAAAAATAAAATTGATTTAAAGACAAATGACACATTTTATATTAGTCCTTCCTACTGGGCTGAGGAAAGGAGGTGGATGCCTATAGCCATTACAATAGTGGATACAAATATAAAACATGATTAGTTAAGGTCAGGATAGTGTAATCAGGAATTAGATGTTTGCATACCTCGAAGACATTACTATATTGAAGTGAATTGGTTTGGTCAAATAATATGTAGACCACTAGGCTTCATTTTAAAAGTAATTATTTACTGTTTGAAAGCCAGCACACATCAAAATAACATTTGGAATCTTAAACAGCCTTAATTTTTTAATGTATGCAAAGTTTAAAGAATTTTTTTTAAATTGAAGGCAAAGGAAATGCTGTGTCAAATGAATCTCTTAATAGTATTGTAGATAGGGAAATATGTGAACACAGTCATGGAGCATTTCAATCAAAGGTTTAAATTTAATTCATTTCTATGTAGCATCCTTCAAATACTGTTTTCTAGTGAAATATAATGTAATGAGATAAAGCTTTTATGAGATTGAGTGAAACTTACTCAAGCATCAAGACAGAATGGACTCAAGCCACTGGGTTCTGAGTTATAATCAGCAATGTTGTCATTTAAAGTGGTAAAATGTAAATAAATTACTTGTACACAATTATAGGAGAGGAAAAAGTCAAGATGAATAACAGGAATTGGACAAATAGGGATAAGACTTTATTTGAAATTAAGTGAATAAACTAGATATACCCAAATTCAATTAGGTCTTAATTGGAAAAAAAACTTAAAGGTATAAAAACAAAATAAATTAGAAGTTGCAGAACTGCTACACTGAGAACTTTTTCAGAAAATTATGTAAACTGTGATTTTTCTTTGACTAGGAAGATCTAACAATATTCTAATTAATTGATTAATGGATGGATCCATTCTCATTCCATCATGAAGTGCCTATTAGGTGCCAGCACTGTTTTGGCAAAGAGTGGAAGTGATAAGTAGAGCAGTGAGCAAATGTCATGTCTTTATGAAGCTTACATTCTACTAAGGAAAACGAATAAATAATTCATGAGAAAAATTCCAATTATTTTCACTGTGATTAAGGAGACAAAATATGGCAGATATATTACTAACTGGTGGAAGAGACTCTGAAGAAAGGTTTCACTTTGAGTTATGATAATGAGTGATTTACACCTAATTAGCAAATAAAAATAAAATCCTTAAACAAGTTACTTTGTGTATGTAGTAAAAAATTTAGAGACAGAGAAAAAGGAATAAATGTCATAAATGAAATATTCAGGTTAGTAGGCAGATTCAGAGTACATGAAAATTCTATCAGTGAAGGGAAAGAATGATTCCCCTGTTTTCATTGCACCCAAGAGTTCAGATGTTCTCAGAATAGAAGTGGACAGTATTACTGAATTGCAGAAAGAGTTCATATGAGCTCTGATAAAATCCTTACATATTCTTGCTGAGTAGACCTGCACAAGTTTTCATCCCACTTCTCTTTATTTTTCACACAGACCTTGGGTTTATATGCTCTCTCAACAAAATTTCACTTGTACCTTTAAGGGGTATTTCTTCTTCTTCAACATGGTTTTTGCATTTCTCCATTTTCCAGAGTAAATGCCACTCCCAGCCCCCCAACTATGACCAAAGTAGCCCATCACAAGGAAAAGAAAAATGAATCGAGAAGACAATGATTGTGATTTCTCTAAGGATGTCTTCATTCCTGTTTTAGTGATCCTTTTAGGTTAAAACAGCACAGCTGGGTAGGAAAAAGTACAGGTAAGAAAATATGGAGTACCTAAAATGAGGGCTTCAGCAACTGGGCTGGATTTCCACTTTTCCCCCTGAAAACAAATGTGAGCAAGGAGCACAAGCAATTATCATGAAAAATCATAGGGCTGTGCTTTTCTGTTGTAAAGAATTGAAACGGGGTCAGGATTGACCACCTTTATTCACTCTCAGGATTTCTCTGGGAAATCTGCCGCCAAGACTTCTGGCTCTTTTATAATTTTATGTTTTTGTTTCCATGATTGGATATTACCTGAAGGCAAGGAAAGCTCGTAAGGAGAACTGGTGGGTCCTATATGGTAACATTCCCCTTGTGAGACCAGAATTAAGCAATATTGGTATTTTAAAACAAAGACTAATAGTAATAATAATGTAGCATGGCAATCCCAGCACTTTGGGAGGCCGAGGCGGGTGGATCATGAAGTCAGGAGATCGAGACCACCCTGGCTAACATGGTGAAACCCCGTCTCTACTAAAAATACAAAAAATTAGCAGGGCGTGGTGGCGGGCGCCTGTAGTCCCAGCTACTCGGGAGGCTGAGGTAGGAGAATGGCGTGAACCCGGGAGGCGGAGCTTGCAGTGAGCCCAGATCGTGCCACTGCACTCCAACCTGGGCGACAGAGCCAGACTCCATCTTAAAAAAAAAAAAAAAAAAAAAAAGGAGCATAATCTCTCAACATCTGCTAAATTAAAAACAAAAGGATCTGGCCCTTTATGTGTCAGTAAACAGGTAAGAACTCTGTTCTCAACTATGCGACCGGCGGCAGTGGCACAAAGACAGCATAGGGGAATGAGGAGTGACAGTTGAGTCTACTAAGGTTGAACTAAGGGAAAAGAGCTGAAGGTAAGAAAACAAGCTCTTGATTGAGGGATAAAGGTGAATCAAGAAGGCAAATTGGTTTTGTTTAGTTAAGAAGATTAATGAGATAAAGTCAGGAAAATCCTATAGTTTTATATGTACATTAAGTAATTCTTATGTTAGAGATCAAAAGAGCAGTATAGCAGTACAAGTAAATGAGCCTGGCGAGCAGTTCTCTGGAGAAAAATATGAGCTGTGTGTATTGCAATGATGATAGAGGAATTTAAAAAGTGCATGCAGTCTCCCAGTATCGAATTGAGCTCACCAGGTACAGTTTGTACTGGCATTCCACTATTTGTCAGTATCTGTTAATGACATTCTAGAAAAGACCCACTTTTTTTGTAGCATTTTCCCGGCTAGAAAAAGTGTTTGAGCCATTTTAACGACTATACTTTTGAAGCCACTGCTACAGTCAGAAAACTATCCACAAAGAGCAATGTAGCTAGGCCACAGAAATCTGTTTTGGGTATGTATTAATCAGTATACGGAGCCTCTTGGATCAGTTCAAGATAATTATAATTTTATTTCTCATTTATTTCCAACTAGGTCCTTATAATAAAACTACTTACCTGCTACTGATTCCATAATCTCAGCCAAATTCTTAATTGAAAAGTAACTAACTTGCCCTAAATGTTACTTAAGCATAGAGTCCTTACTTTAAGAGGCTGGTGTTACCCTGTCCTTGTGGAACTTTTGAAACACATGTAGCCTTATTTTCTGGAAGAAATAAGGTAATTTTAAACTCCTCCCAGTGACTTTATTTTGCTTCTCTATCACGGCCACATCCATACTATTTCTCTGAAACATAGAATCTAAGTGAAAAGGGTGTGTGCCCCATGCACATTTCAGCTTCAAGGCCAGTGCCTTAGCATTCCACTCCCTTCTCCTAATGAGATTGCCACTCACAAATGTCTCTTATGTAGAAATTTGTGAGACACCATTTGGTTAAGTAACATTCGGAATGACAAGTTAAAATTCTGTTCAGAACCTCCTGCTCCAGGAAAACATTTTATGGTTATAAAATCATAGAGAATTTTATGGTCAAAAAAATGAAGACAAATACCCGAAATAAATTTCACTTACCACAAAGGCATTATTTATGCTAAAGAAAAAGATTTCTTCAGTGTCGAACCCTCTTTACAACATTCTTCTCTTTGTGTAATGCATAAATGTGTAGTGGGCTCATTTTAACTGCTTTTCAGAAACTGAATATCACTTAGTAGTAAGAAAAAAATACAGTATCAATACCACCAGAGAGAAAAACAGAAAATACAAGAAAAATAACTCCAGTGAAGAGCTAAAGGAACGGGAGGTATTTCTGTCTCTCTGTAATCTTGCTTGCTGCCTTCCCACCAAGGCAACTGAAGAAACCTGCCAGAGATTTCACTGCACAGGGAAATTTTAGAGATGAGGAGCCACTTCAAATTGACACAAGACTGTTTCATCTGTCAGTCAAGGTATGAGGTGCACAGTGAAATAGCAACAATGTCACTGAAATTATATTCCTTTGCTCCAAGTACATAAATATCTTATTCCTTTTTTTAAAATTATTTTCTTATATACATACTTTCCTAGGTATAAAATTGTATATTTTTCTAGTTGCTCCCAGATCACAATAAATACCCAAATCTTCCATGATTCATTGACAAATTCTTTCCTAATTCAAAAGAAAAGTACTGTAGTTAAAGGTGACAGTTTGTATTACATGCAGTGAGCAAGTGCAACAACTTTTTAACCATCTCTGGATGATGTGACAGAAGCAACGTTTGTAGTACAGGAAAGAGGAAAAGCTTCCATTTTAAACCTGATGAACTTTATATTGTATGAAGCTGATTCAGTGTCACTCGGGCTTCTCGTAGCTGAGATAAAAACGGGGTTTTATTACACATGTGTGAAGAAATGAAGAAGAGTGTGTACAAATGTTTGTTGACTCTATAACAATATTATGACTCAGGAAAAGGAAAAATCTTTATATGCCAAAAGGAATTCAAAGCTAGAGAAAAGTGAAAAATTTATCATAACAATATCAAAGTCACAAGGTAATTTCACATATACTCATGAACAAGCTGCTTCAAAGAGTGTACCTAAACAATGCATCAGAAGATGACAGAGGGATTGAAAGGAATAAAATCTGTAAAAGCATTAAAGATAGCATAATCAATCAAAAGATTTACTTTCTTTTATTTTTTCCCTGAGATAGGAAAAGATCATCATCATCATCATGCTTGCCCTTTGTTGAACACTTCTTGTATGCAAAGCAGTGTGCTAGCGAACACCATTTATTACTCTCTACAAAGGAAATTAGACACCTTGCTTCCAGCTTTCACAGACTAGCTTTAATAGGGTTGTCAGGACAAAGTCAAAGTCATCATAGGAAATACTTAAATGAAGTAAGTAGGTCAATATATGGTTGATTCCTGTGCATTTGTATGAAATGGGATGAAGTCTGCCCATCCATATTGCCTCTAGAGGTGACAATTATGCTTGCCTCATCCACAAAAAAAGGAAACAAAACACAATCTCATAAATCTATTAATTAAACATATGTTTTATGATATCTGCTGTGTATTTGGTGACAATTATGCTTGCCTCATCCACAAAAAAGGAAACAAAACACAATCTCATAAATCTATTAATTAAACATATGTTTTATGATATCTGCTGTGTATTTAACTTTGTGTAAAACCTATTCCAGTCTTCAAAACTTTATATCCAATTGAGAAGAAAAACTTAAAGATCAATTAAATGGCAACCCAAGACAAGTAGGTACCTCCTCAATGTTGAAAGGAGTTTAGTGCTATTGGCAATGAGAGGAAGGCTCTATCTTTAGGGGTGTGCCTAAGAGTTAAAATAAGATTATAGTACTCTCTCATCCACTGGGTGCTTTTTAACATCTACTCTTTGGAAGATTTTGAGCTTTATGGGGTATAGATTGGTTTTTATTATAACGAGAACCCTTTCTGAAAAACAATGAAATATTTGTTATGCTATTATAGTATTAAAGCTATGAGGCAGTTTCACATACGCCCAGGAACAAGCTGCTTCAAAGTGGGAAAAAAGAAACAGGAGTGGATGAGAATATTTGTTGTCAACAAAGAGACAAGGACCATTTAGTAAATAATACATAATACAAGGACCATTTAGTAAATAATACATAATACAAGGACCATTTAATAAATAATACATAATAATGGGGTTCTGCTATGTACTTAGAACCTATGCTATTGCTCCCCAAGATGACCCTTCTCGCTGGCCATCATGGTTTCTTCCACATTCCCTCATGTGTTGTCACCATCAAGTTTTTACTCCTATGGCTACTTTTCCACCTTAAATCACGGTAGTCCACTATTTTTCCTTGGGGACTTTCTGCAAGAAACTTGAATGTGCCCATTTTTCCTTAATACTGTGTCTGTCAGTAGCAATTTCTGCTACAATATATTACCCTCGAATTACTTTAATCGTTCTAGTTCTTTTCCCCAAACATACTGCAATTAGTGAAGGATAGAGAACAAGTCTACCTCATGGTATCCCCACAAAACTTGATTCAGTGCTAGTATACAAAGGAAACATATAAATTGATTGAATAGATGATAACTGAACAGAAATTGGCAAAACAAATGTTAGCCCAGAATTCCTTCAAGATTATTAAAACTGTAATATATCATAAATAATTGTATCTTCACCAGAAATTCAAGTTAAGATTACAGCTGGTAAACTCAGAGCCACCTTTCGGGCTTTTTCCTAAACCACTGAAATTTCCATAGGGATCTACAGCAAAACGGAAAACTCAGTCCCCATGCCACGTTTTCAATCAGTATGAGCACTATGTGGCTTTGCTGGTGGAACCCTATTCCTTTTTGGCTTTTCTGTTTTTATGTGGGGGTTAATAATTTTAATATACATAGAAAGAATAGTTCAGCAAAGGGCAATGAGAAGGGTAGAAAAAGATGGCATTTTGATTATATGCCCAGAAGAGGAAACAAAGCAATGGAAAATTTTTATTTAAACTGTCAATTCTCTGATAAAATTAAGAGTTTTTTTAATTGGATAGTTTGAAGAAAAATACAAAAGAACTTTTCTAGAATACAAACTATTATGTCTCTATGGTCTTTAAGTGTCAACGATGAGTGTGTAAAGGCAAATAAAAGCATTACTGTCCTTAACTTGTAAAATTGATTGCGGACTTCATTACTTAAACCAATCCCTGACTCTCCTATCTTATTACTATTTGTGCTCCTCTTTTATTTTTTCCTTTACTTAACCTTTAGGCCATCTACCTCCCTTGCTAAATGTAAAATTACTTTTCTTAAAAGTCTCAATATTGTGAGGTGGAGGCCTATTATAAGCAACTGGAGAGGACAATCTAACCAAAGGAATGAGGTGCTTCAAGTTCACCAAGAAATACATGCAAAGGCTCTTTGCAAAGTATCTATGCAACACTCTGTACACACATTCACCATAAATGCAATCATAATGTCTTAATAACTTCTTAGCTAACATCATTTTGAATTTGTTAGATATTTGGGTTATTTTCACAACCATTTTAAGAATGGTGAATATTTCCAGATAGTGTGGTAAACGTTGTTTTACAATCACCTTAGCTTCCCATAAAGGGTATTCAAAAGAGGGGGAAGGGATAAAGTATCTTAATACATACAGGATTAAAACAGTTTACATTTGAATTAAATGTAATACATGCATATGGCACACACAGATACAATGTGGAATGTGACAGATTTGAGATGGAAAGTATCTAAAGTGACATCAAATCCCTTCACCTCCTATTTTGCCTCCATTCCTCTCTTGAATGTGCATGGAAGACGCGTTTCAGCATTTCACATCAGGGCACGCACTACTTCCAAATCAATGCCACCTAGATGTCGTTAACCACCAACTAATTTCCATCCAATACGTAATCCAAATTCTCTTTTCAAAACCCATTTCACTGTACAGTTCAACCTGTAGCCTTTTAATCTCCGTAAATTATTTCTTCCTCCAACAGACATTTATGGCTTTGTAACATGTATACCCATACCTTCCTGTATAGACATAATTCTTTCAAACTTTTCCCATAAGTCAGCTTCTTTTCCCTAATCAATTGTGAAACTCTTCTTTGGACTCCTTCCAATCTGTCTACTTATTTTTGGTAGTCAGACAAACCAAACGGAATGGGGCATTCTAGAATAGGTCTCATGAATGTCATTGAGAGTGGAACTGTCACCCTCTATTCCATGATGAAATGCTCTAAATAGACTGCATCCAAAAATAACATTAGTCTTTTGGGTGTCACATCACACTAAAAATGTGCAGTCTTTTCCTGTTTTTAGTCTCATATCTCCAGATGTCTCCCCATTATTTCTGGGATATGTCCTCATCCGTTCAAAGATTGTTAAGAGAGTATGATTTTTCAATGTTCCTCATAAGCATTACTAAGTTGTCCTCTTAAGTTTTAATTCCCCTCTCCTCCCCTCCCCTCCTCTCCTGTCCTCTCCCCTCCCCTTCTCTTCCCTTCCCTTCTTGCTTGCTTGACAGGGTCTCACTCTGTCACCCAGCCTGAAGTGCAGTGGCATGATTATAGCCGAATACAGCCTTGAACTCCTGTATTTAAATGATCCTCCTGCCTCAGCCTTCTGAGTAGCTAGGACTACTCAGTGTGGTGTTTGCCACCACACTGGGCTAATTTTTGTTTTTAATATTTTGCGGAGACAGGGTCTTGCTGTGTTGCACAGGCCGGTCTTAAACTCCTCTGCTCGAGTAATCCTCCTGCCTCAGCCTCTGAAAGTGCTGGGATTACAGTGTGAGCCGCTGCACCCTGTGTAAATCTTGTTTTCTTTTACATAATTCCTTCATCTCTTTGTGATTTTTCTCAACACCTGTGTGCATGCACCTCTGAGCATTCCCCAGAGGCTTTTCCACAAATGCACCTATTTCTTACTATCTCCATTGCTTAAATATTTTTGCCAAGAGTTCAACATTTTTCTTTGACCTTTTTTGGTTTAGTTCAATGAATATCTATCAGATTCCTACAATGGCATTTACTGTATTAAACGCTGGAGACATAGCAATGAATACGTGATTTCCATAGGAGAAACAATCACGCAAATGTAATTTGAGTATCACTTCAGTGCTTTGTGGGCATTCTCAGCATAGTTCCTCTTTGGCTTGCTTATAACCTAAAAAGCACCATACATTTTTACCTTTATTGTCCCCACACTGGCTTTATGACTGTCTTTGAACGACACAGTTAATGCTTCTTTGCCTCTGTGCCTGGAAACAAGTAATTAAGTCCCCCAAACAAGGAGGTATTACAGCCTACAGCCTGGGTCAGCATTGCCAAGTGTGAGAACAGTCATAGTTTGGCCTGTGCACTGGTTTTAGGTAAGCAGCTCTGCTTCCAGAACACTTTGGAGAAATAGAACCTTCCTCCAGGAACTCCAGCCACACTTGTGTGCAATTCCTATCTTGACCATTTTTCCTGTTTCAATTTGTCCATTTTCTGTTTCGTCTTTGTTTGTTCTACATTTAAATTTAAAACTGTACCCTCATTGAATTTTTTTAAAAGTTCTTCTTTGGAAAGACAGCTTAATAGAAAAGAAATAAAAATATTACAGGAGAGGAAACTTGAGTTTCTACCCAGGTCCTGGCATTCCTGTCCATCAGAGCATTATTCTCAACGAGGCTTGTCTTTGCTTTGAAACCACCATGGTGCAAATGCAGCTCAAAAAAAAAAAAAAAAAAAATCACCCAACCTCTCCATGTCTCAGTTTCTTTGTTTGCAAAATGGCAATAATAATAGTGTTCCTGTAGGAGTTTGTTGTGAAGATTAAAGGTGTGATAGAGAGCTTTGCTGAGCCCCTGGCCCACATCAAATGCTCCATAAATATCATCTGTTAGTATTTTGCTGTGTTTATTCTTTTTGGTGATTGTTTCAGCTTGATTTGCTAGCATGAGAGTGGCACCTCTGAAAGGTAAGCAAACCTCTTTTCACTGTCTTTCAAATAAAAGTTTATTAATGTTTACCTATCATTCACCATGGCAAGCAAACTTCGTATTATAGTTTTCAGGGCATTAGTGACCTTGTTTACCAAGTGTGAATTTCCCAGTATCTTCTCTCTAAAGTCAGGAAAACAGTGAATAGCAGGTAGAGAGGTGCTGCTTTGGGCAGAGGAGCTCACTTTGTTTGAGCTACTTCCAGTGCTTCCTGCCCCCTCTCTGACCTCCTTTCCTCTACCACTATGCTCCTTTGGCCCATTGCCCAAGGCTTCTCTTCTTTTCCAGTTTTTTTACTTCTATCTCCTCCCCAAACCTAGAGGCATAAATGCCAATAAAGTTTGCATTTCAGAGTTGACATCAGCTGATAAATGTTATACTGTAGTTTTCTCTAACCTAGATTGAAAACCTCTAAATCAGAGACTGTGCTGTCACACACTGCCTGTCCTGCACCACGTAAATCATTGACAGATGAATCATCATAACGATACTGCCAACTAACCCCGTGTCGCACTGCCTGGCCCTCCTTCTTTCAAACTGTGTCCATTTTGTCTCAATCAGCTTCTAATCCCATGCTAATATTTAAATGAAAATGAATTAATTTAAAAATTGTAAACCTTGCAACACAGCCTACTTAATTCTAAAATAGAGGCATAATATTTCTTATATTTATGTCTACAAGAACTAATTTCCAAAGAAATTATCCAGCATATTTAGACCGGTTTGATAAAATTGTTGTCTTTTGTCATTCATGTTCTTATCACATCCAAAATAAATTTATACTTGGCCTTGTCCACCCTTTCACCTATTCACCAAATGTTAATATTCACCAGATGTTAATAACTGGTATTATGTTTCCTATCCTCTGGTCTCTTGGATTTATTATCATAACTCCCTTTTCCAACTTGTGATGTCTTAATTTAAGCACTTCCCTGCAGTCTACAAATTGCTTATTTTAGTTGGATTACATTATTGTCACATTTCCCGTAAGTTTTGAATATTCTATATTTTGATATTTTAAGAAGCTATTGCCTCTGGTACCTTTTGTTTGTTTTTATTTTTGTTTTAGTCAAAGCTAACTGACAGCCATTCAGGCATATTAATATTTACCTGTCAGGCATTTTGACAGGTAAATATTTGTATATAGAATTGTCATCCACAAACTATAACATATTAATAAAATATTTACCAGAGATGAATTTTTATACACCACCAAAATATTTACCTGAGAACAATTTCATAGTTCAACAATTTCTTGGAGAATTGGCTTTTACCTGAAAATTTTAGCCAGTTAACATGTTTGTAGAAATCATTTCTTATTCAGTTAACTTAATTATAGAGATATGTTCATTGCTGTGAGTTAAAGGTGCATTAGCATTCAGTGATTAGCTGGCTGTTTGACTCTTTTTTAACAAACAAGAGAGAAGAAACAGCATATGATCTAAACATCTTGTTCTTTTGTAAAATACCAAATGATGACCTTGGAGAAGAAGATCTCAAAATAAACTTCTAAGTAAGTTGTGTAAGCATTTGTTAAGGTCTTTCTGAAATCTTTCAGGAATGAAAGGAAAGGAATTTTGCAGCAAATTTTATCAAAATACATAAAAAATATTGGCATTTATTTTTTAAACTATTGCGAATGAAGAATATATTCAGCCAAGGAATCAAGTCCAGAGCTTGTCATGGTCTTGTCACATGCAGGTATTTAAGAAACATCTTTTGTTTGAATATTGGAGGATAGGAGTTCATACAACAGAAAGCAAACACCTGGGGAAAATGGCAATATTAATAACAACTAATATTCATTTAATTAACTCTGTGCACCAGGCAAGTTAAGTGCTTCATATATATTATTTCATTTAATCCTTACCATGACTCTTAGAGGAGGTGATATCATTAACTCTAGTTTACAGATGAGGAAATGGGTTCACATGGATTTGTTAATTCCCAGAGCTAGAAAGTTGCAGAGCTGGAATTTTTGTCCAAGCACTCTTGACTCGGAAACCAGCACTCCCCACTGCTCTGTTTTCTTTCTCTCAAGACCACCAAAAATCTATCTAGCAGATGGAGGAAATGTAGGGCAGGATTTGGGCAAGAGGTTTTGTAATAGGTACAAAATATTTGTGGCAAAAATGAAGCCTGGTATTTGCCAACCAAGTTCTCCAGGTCTTTTTACAGTTCTTTTTCTTCTTGTTAATTTTTGAGGCCAGAATATATCTTAATCCAAATGTACAAATGAACAGTCTCAAGGGGCAGAGAGGAATTACAAGCCTGATAGCAACTGCCACAAGTTGTGTGTAACAGTTTAGGTGAATCAACAGCTACAATTCAGGGGAAAAATATATGACATGTTCTAAAGCAATTATTCAGAAATGAAAATGTTAAGTAGAGTCAAAAGTCATCCCTAATTTAAGCCATTGTAGGTGGCTACAAAAGTTATCTACATCTATTTTCTAAACCACTCTGCAAATAAAATGAAAATAGTACCTTGAGGTTCACTGAAAACTTAGGCTGAAAAAGGTACAAAATATAGACACCAATCTCCTTCCAGTGGCTTCTATTTAGGTCAAACTTGCTAGGGAATTTTGAGTCCTATTATCAACAAGATGAAAGCTTTTACAAAACTATGATCTGTATAATTAGAGGACATCAGGTAAAAATCTCATGTCCATCTTAAACTTTGGATGAATAACATTAGGTACACATCTGTTGCTGATTGCCTCTAACCTCTAATCCACGGGTACACTGAGACCTGACGTTAGGACAATGCCCAGGAAAGTGCTATCCTGGGCAGAGGGCAAACCCAATCTTGATGATGCTCCCTTGGCAGAAGCTAGGTGCAGATCCTGCTCACTTCCACATTGACTCTGAATGTCTGGCTCCAATTATGCTGGCAATATGGACATAAAGAAGTCTGTGTAAGCTGGAAAGCGTGCTGGAAACTAACCAAGGTTTAGCCAAGAGTGAAAGTATTTTTATCCTAGCCCTATGATGCAAATAACTCTCTTTAATAGTACAGACTTAGAATTAGGCTGCCAATCTAAAGAGTCTTTCATTTAGTTTTAATGACGCATCCCATTTTCTTCTGCAGCTTAAGCTACTTGACATAATTTTCTAAATTCCATGACCTACAGTACCAACATTATACTCTGTAGTTTTTGGGTGCTCAATAAATTATGTGCTATTATCAATATTCTAGAAGTTTGATACTGTGTTCCACATGGTGGCATATTTTTTCCTGGGGTGTGGGGGAAATCTGGAGCAGTAATTACATGCATTATTGTCACTGATAATAGTCATACAAATCAAAAACTATTCTGCAAACTTTTTCTCTGTTTTGGCCTATGTTGAATTCCAATTATGACAAAGTTTTTAATCTCTGGGGGGGGGGCAATATGTGTATGTGTCTCTGCATATATAAAGAGTCCAGAGAGCCAAAGTCCTTGAAATATTTAACATCTGTTCAGAAAACCTTTCAAGGGTATTTAAGCTTAATGTCACCAATATTATTTCACATATACTATAAAAGTTTCAGACTCAACATTTGCTTAACAATTTTGAGCTGACCATCAGCTATCCATTAATATAAGACCAGTCTACTAGCAATTGCTACTAAGTACAATAATATTATCAAAGAAAGTGAAGGAGGATGTGGCCAGGCAGTCAATGTCCAGGAAGAAGTTTGATAAGGGCCTTTAATGGAAAGTCATGGGAGGACAGAGAGGGGAGAAGCTGTAATTGGTAGAGAAAATGGAAAGCAGTGATGCACTTGAGAACAGAAATACAGTGAGTAGTAGAGATTTGTATCAGAAATACAGAATGGAGGTGGAGGTGGATAGGAGAGCCTTGTTATTTCATATATTTGGAGATGGACTCACAGAGTAGTGACTGCCTTTGTAATATAAGCTATTTCTCTTACTGCAACAAGGAAACCTCTATGTCTCTATTTCCTTTGCACCTGACCTGCCACTTCCATTGTCTTCCACGTAATGTCACCTTCATCTCTAGACCTTGTCTGTGTCTGGCAAAGGCTGAAAGGCACTCGTCCTGGACTCCTGCAAATATGTCATCTAATGAAGACATCTATTAATATGGGCACATTACAGCTCGCCATCTGGCTCTGCCTCTTGGACCCCTCTCCTCTCTATAGATCTGCACACACAGAGCACGCTGTGCCTAATCAATTATTTATCCATTTCCCTCACTGCTGCCAACAGACTAAGCCTCTGCTTTCTGCTGCAAGGCTGCTGAGGGCTGATGGCATTCATTTCAAGCCTAAGAACATATTTTTTCTATCAAAACCAAACATAAAGTCCTTGTAGTTCCCTTGTTCTGTACTTGTCTCTGTTCCCCTTCTTGCTTATATCGTGGGAGGTGGAATACTACAATATTCCACAGTTCTGAAAACAGACCCTCTGGGTTTTAACCCCAAGTTTTCCTCCAACTTGTGATCCTAGCAAATTGGTTAACTTGTTTTGTTTGTTTTTTTGTTTGTTTTGGTTTCCTTACCTCTGAAATCTGGATGATAATAGGATCCATTACTATTATAATGGTCTTGTTTTGAGTATTAAATAAATAGCTATATATAAGGTGCTTACATTGAGACCTGGCCCAGAGTATGCACTAAGTTATTATTTTGTTATTATTATTTTCCCTTTTAACTGCCTAAACACATTTCTCTGCTCATTCATCTTCACGTTCATCTCCACTTCTCTGAATTTCTATAACAAAAATGGCCTCCATCTCCTTCACATTATTCTTTCCACACTTTTCAGCCTTTCTCTTTTAGATAATAATAATTTGATGTTTCTCTAATTTGCTCTTATTTCTTTCCCTATTTTCCTTTTCAACTTTACTCTTTCTTTCTCACTCTTGTCTTAACTCTCTGATAGTTTTCCTTTCTACCTCTTTTTATCACTTCAAAGACTTTTTTCAGACACAAACCAAGGATGAGCTAATTTACCACAGTGAATGTAATTTTCTTAATATCTGTAGTGTTAAGGTTTTTTGAAAAATACAAGGACTTGGCCAGGCGTGGTGGCTCACACCTGTAATCCCAGCACTTTGGGAGGCTGAGGCGAGTGGATCATGAAGTCAGGAGTTCAAGACCAGCCTGGCCAACGTAATGAAACCTTGTCTCTACTAAAAATACAACAAAATTAGCCAGGCATGGTGGCGGGTGCCTGTAGTCCCAGCTACTTGGGAGGCTGAGGCAGGAGAATTGCTTGAACCCAGGAGGCAGAGGTTGCAGTGAGCTGAGATTGTGCCACTGCACCGCAGCCTGGGTGACAGAGTGATTCTGTCTCAAAAAAAAAAAGAAAAGAAAAGAAAAAGAAAATATAAGTTCTCTTCCCTGAAATAAAGCTGAGATTTAGGGTTGGCATCTGGTTGCTTTCCAGTTGTGTCATTATGAAGCAGTCTCCTTACGAAAACCTGACACTAACAGTGAGACGAGGATTCCTCTCTTCCTGCTGCAGGCTTATCTTCCTCTCTTTTTCCCTTCCCAGCTGCAATTTTATATCGAAATACCATTTTTTACTGAAATATATAGAATACTTGTTTTAATGTCAAATGTCTTATTCACCACATTCAAAAATATTGGCCAGGTTACACCACAGAAATAAAATTATTTTAACCTGGTGTCTCTCTGGACCTCTCAAGGACCACCGGCCCAATTCATTTATCTGACTGGAAAGGAAATGCAGAAAACCTGAACTCAGCTTTTTGAATGGTAGCCTGGCCCTGGCCTGCATTTATTCATGTGAGAGTTAAGCAAATTGTTTTTTCCGAAAAGTTCCTCCAGCAAATGACTTTACAGTTCATTTATACATTTGCTTAATTTATCATTCATTTATTTATTCTAGTATGTATTGAGATTCTCCTTGAGCATGGAGGAAGAAGTGCCAAAAACAGGTATACCTCTCTCCCTGGCTCCTTCACTCAGCCTACATGTTTAGGCTTGATTTTAAGAGACACCAAACATCAGGGGCAATATTCTCAACCTGGCAGAATAACTACTCCGCAGGGAAGAGAGTGGCATTGCCAAGATGCAAATATCTGCTGAGTCCTGTTCCTAAGGGCATGTTGCCCTATCTGTGGTTGATGAAGACTGGGGTATGGGCCTGTGATTAAGTGAATGGCTGGCTGTATGTATTTTTGCAAAATGATGAGATGAGGGAAAATGAATATTTATGCCATCTTTGATTCTTCTAAATTTTCCACCAAACTGTCTGCCTGTGCTTTAATATTGTCATTAATAATACAAATTAGAATAATGTAATTAAATGCCCTTGGGTATCACCTGAGCATTTCTGTACAACTATGATACCCTGGGGCTCCCTGATCCTAATGGTCTCGTGGCTGGCTAGCACTTTATGAACATACCCAGGTTGGCTCTTTTATTTCTTGCCTGAAACCACCTCTGTGCTACAGTTTGTTTTTTTTGTTGTTGTTGTTTGTTTGTTTTTTTTTTGGCTCTGGCTGCAATTAGATTCACACTTTACTGTACTGTAAAAATCTCATTTGATGATCCATATCCATATTCTATAAAACTTGGTTTCAGCTGAGGCAAGAGAAGCCCTTCACCCAAGGCATACAAGGCAACATCCAGGGCAGAGGATTTTGACTTTTCTGTGCCTGATGGGTCCATCGGTGATATTAATGTCTCCATGCATTAGAAGTGCTACAGCCATATTATACATTGCAAAATCACTGAAGCTGATTTGACTAGAGGATAAAAATGCCATTCACTTCACACACTGAGACCACATGTTTTACGAGTCTACTCTTCCTATTCTCAGAAAGCAAGAGTGAATTCTTTACATCCTCAGGGAAAAACATAGGGGAAAAATTAATTAAGAAAAAAATTAAAGGTCTGGGCTGGTAGGGCAGATCAAACCTTCAGAGAAAGCTTGAGAAATAGTTTATAAGAAATGGAAGCATTACTAAGATTGAAAAAACAGAGTAAAAACTGAAATAGATGAGAGACAAATCATAAAATGCATAGTATTGAAAAGGCTGAAAAATACAACCAATCCAAAGGGATTGTGGAATACCATTTTGAAAATTCTGCAGTGCAGTCTGACAAACAGATATTGAAGTTAGAGAATCTTTTCTAACTTTCCCTACCCTCCTTCCACACCCTTCAGGGGTGAATTTCCAGGCTCAAGGTTACGTACGCCCTCCTCTCTTTATTCTACTTTCTTTGCCCTCCCTGTATAATAATCTAGAGACTGAGACAAATGCTCTGTGTGACTTTCCTTGGCCAGGAGAGCAGGGACTGCAGAATGATGACTGCTTTTGGCAGAGGCCCAGAGTGGAAAATTTATTTACTGCCTTGTCGATGTCTACTGAGATGGGCTGCTGCCTTTCCACATCCATTACAAAGTACTCATATGGCTAGAGCAGAGACTTATAAAAGGCTTTTTCTTTATTAGGCTGGATGAAAATCCTAAAATGGACAGGACAAGGAGTCATCACGTAGGGCCAATTTGGGAATTTGCCAGTCAGGGAAATGGCAATGAGAAAGGAACCCACTGCACCCTTGTTCTTCAGGGTGTCCTGGATTTGAACTTTTGTTTTAAACGATGAAAGCAAAATTAAAAATACATGTTTGCTTGTATGATATTTTAAAGCAAAATAAACGTTTGAATAATAACTTCTATTTCAGCTCTGGTGAAGTAACACTGCAAAATAATATTTATTTAGCAGTTTTCAAAAGACTTTCACCTTCAGCCCTAATCTTTTAAAGCTAATGAGAGTTTGTGATTCATCAAGAACTTTAAAAATTAAGGATCATTACTTTTACTAATTTAAATTCAAATTACCTAGGATGCTCAATTAATCAATCTTTAAACAATATTAAAACAGTCAAGACTTGTCACTCTCTTGTCTCTGATGGAAGATGATTTAGATTGCAGCCAAACCAATGAACAACACTGAAGGAAGATAACTTAATGTATTCTACTAGCATTGTTCACTTGGCCTTGTTTTTGCCCCTTTTTTTTCAACAAAGAAGAGACATATGCCTGTGCTGAAATGGCTGTTGCCATCTTATTCTCCCATCTGGCTGTCACATGGCTAATTGTCCTAAAACAGCTGGATGAGGCAATAGCATCTTTAATGGCTCAACTTAAATATGGTCAGGCAGAATAAGTGCAACTATGTGTCCTGTCCCCACACAGCAAAATATCTTCTAAGAAATGTGTTTCTCATAAATTGATAGCCCTTAAATCTTTTTTTCAAATCAATGTCTGTGCTTTTTATATTCCTATGTAACAGTTTTAGATTCTTTCAGAGCTCCCCTATAACCTACCTTTCCAGAAAAAAATATTGTTTTAGTTAGGATTCTGTGGATTCTACTTAGTGGCCAGAACTAGGAACATGATAAACATTACAATAATATTTATCTAGAATTTTATAATCTCCAAATTCAGATAGTCTTTTTATCATCTTCCTGGAAAAGGCTAATAGATGTGTTTATGAGATATCAACTTCAAAATGTTGAGAGGGGCAATTAATGAATAAATGGTAATATCCGTTTATTGGTTAAGAAGAATATTCTTATAGTCAGAGATTCCTAACTCCAGTCATTCTTAGCAAAGGCTGCTTAGGATATAAGGCTCAATGTATAAGATGCTCATTTTCTATAGTGGGTGTGGGCAGTACAGATTGGCTCTTCTCTGAGAGTTAAGCAGCTTATTGCCTAAATCAAGACTTAGGGATGTATAGGCTGTTATTCTAGGTTCTAAAACTGCCTTGGTTAATTATATTCATATAAATGTTCAATCCCCTTTTAGAGTCTTCCTAAATTACCTGCTTAATATTGTCCAGCAACAGTGATTTTCATAGGTTAATTATGCCCTACATAAAAGAGCACGAGCTTTGTCCAGTCAAAATTTGTTACCTAGTCATTTGATTAACTTTCTTCCTCTGGTTCAAAGGAACAGAATAAGGTCAGGAGTCACCAGCTACCTAACAACAATATCCCAAACTCATAGAGCATCACGCGTCCACTAACTCCACATATTCATAAACACAGAGGGCTTTCTGATTGGGGAGTCATAAATGGAGGGGCAGAACAGTCACCAATTTGCTCCTACCCTGTGTCCCTCCATTTATTTGACCTCAGTACCTCCTGCCCTATAATGTGTGAGGTAACCCAGAAGAATATGTTTCATTTGGCTAAAGAATCGGAATAGGAGAGAAGGTCAGGAGTGGGAAAAATGACAGGTTTTACATTTAGATAAGGACAGGCCTCTTCCATCTTGCAGATCCCTATGGTAAAATATCTTCTTGTACTGTTTCTTTTTCTCCAACCCTACATGGATACCTAGAAGTGGAGGAACTCTCTTGCTTTAAACATTTCATCTGTAAACGTGGTCCCTGAGTTCACAAGATATCTATTTATTTCGTTCACCTGCAAAGACCCCCTCTAAAACCAGTTCCCAGGATCATAAAATACCAGTTTTATCTATTTTATCTTCTATTTTTTGTTAATTCTCTAATATTCATTTATTGCTCTAATTTTAAAAGCTTCTTGAGTTGTAAATGAATAATTGTTTTCTGAGACATTATTTGAGAATATTTGTTTTTTGCTTAATAAATAACTGTGGAAATAAACTGCCAGGTCCAGTCTCCCTAAACGTGGTACTCAAGACAAACATATTTAACCACGTTTGTTACTGTCACTTGATTGACTCATAGATATATTCAATTAAAATGTCTAAAATGGAACTCTTGATTTCATTCCCAAACTTGTCTCCTACTCAAATCTTACTGCCTGAGAAGAAGGCATCCACACACTGAATTACTTAAGCTAGAAAACTTGGAGATACCCTGTTTACTTCCCTTTTTCTCACCTACCACATCCTATTTATCAGCAATTGCTTTTGGTTTTAGCTCTAATACATTATATTGAATCTGTCTACATCTTTTAATTCTGAATGCTGCCTACACATTCTGAAAAACTATGATCTCACCTAGACACCTGGAGTAGCTCCTGCATGATTTTTACTCTTCTATCTTACATTCACTGACTCACCCGCACCAATATCATCCCCACATACTCAAGTTGGTGGCCCCTGCTCTCCCTGACCTCACATTTTATGAGGAAGAAAGAAAAACTTTACAGACAAACAATTATAATACTCACAATTTGTAGTTAAATGCTATAAAGAAAATAAACAGGGTACTGTAGGCAATGGGAGAAGTACTTTGATTCTTTTCATCCTTTAAGTCTCAGTTTAGTTACCTTCTCATCTTTTAAGTCTCAGTAAAAGTTACTTTCTCAAGAAGAACTTCCTTAAATGGTCTATCTTAAAGTACATTATCATTGTCTTAGTACATAGTGCATATTGGTTATTGTTGGATGATGAATCTTACTTTTGCTTTTGCTTTTTAATTTTATCTCTCTGGTTGGTAAAATTTTATTTTTCACTCTAGGTACTACAAATGTCAATCTTTTAATAAAACTTTCAAATAAAGAACCTATGCGTGTGTGTGTGTGTGTGTGTGTGTGTGTGTGTGTGTGTGTCTTCTGTTAAGCTAAAATCAACTTGAGTTTAAATCTAGTTTTTTTATAGCCTGATTTACTCATTCTTTTTACTTTCTGCCTCAGGGATCAGATTCTATATTGGTTTATTTTCAATGACCAAAAATTTAGAGAATGTTGTCAGATAGAATAGCCGAAATGTCAGTTACAATAGAGCACAGGTATTAGTTTAAAAATTTGTCTTTTGGCTTATATGGTAGGTAGTTTTAAAATAAATACATCATTTAAAGTTTGGGATATATGTGTGGGTTTATATTTTGTTTCTGTATTTTAGGATTGGCAGTCACCATATGAATGGCTTGACAGGCCCATTTTTTTAGTTCAAAATGTACATTCCTTTTGAATTACAAACTCCTTCCCTATTATTCACTATATTCTCATGTATCTCATGTTATCTGTCTATATTGTAAAAAGCTGAAAAGAATTAAACTATTCTATCTAATGATACTTCTTTAAATTCACATAGTGTTTTAAATTAGATGACATAAATATAAATGCAGAGATAGAGATTTTTTTTCCATTGGCCATCAAATCAAGGACATGTCTTCTTCCAACATCATCTTTTTTTTCCCCCTCTATTTCAAGTGACTCCTTTGAGGGAGTTATTTCAATGAATCATTCCATAGAACACAGCAAACTGAAACTATACCCCTGTCTTTTGGTGATCTCTTCTGGCCTAGGAATCTAGAGACATAGCAGAAGCTCATACCATTTTATATAGTTCCAATATTGACTCCCCTGAGATTAAAGACATATCTGTCACACTCTTCTAGAATATTAGAAAATTCTGTTTATTTCAAACTCTGTCACAGCTGAGGTGGTGAAAGTATCACTCAATATGTCAGCATAAAGTTATGTTATACCTTATCAATGTACCTCCCATCAATAAGGACATTTGGGTAAATACTTGCCACATTTTGTACATTGCGCTATGCAAACATGAAGAAATTTTGAAATAAGTTTGTAAAGTAGTTTTATCAGCTGTAAAAAAGCTATCAGGTCTCTCTATTGCTGTGGGATTCATCAGAATAAAATATTTGAACAATAAAAAAATATAGAAAAATATATTATTAAATGTCTAATCTTAGAAATAAAATTTTCCTCATAATGTGGAATAAAACCAAAAATAAAAATTCTATAAAAATGAACTCATACCCATAAAAAACACAAAACACATAAAGATTAAACGATATGATAGAATTATTAACTAAATATAAATATATATTTATGCTTGCATAGGTGCACAGGATAAAAAGACTAAATAAAAACATAGGAAAGTATTAATATTATGTCAGGATGATCAAATTAAGATTTTTAATTTCTACATACTTTTCTGTGTTTGCTAACATTTATAGATTGAGCATCAAATATTAGCTTTTTAAAGTGTTAAACTATAAGAACCAATAAATTTTGATAAATCATAGCTAGCAGTTTAAGATCAAATATATAATTTGGCTGTATCAAGAATTTGATTATAGACCTGGACTAAAACCATGAAACATCACATTCCCCTTCACCTTTCTAAGAGCTAGTGTGTATGGGTGTCATTATTTCCTTGTTTTCCTTACTTTTTTTAAATCGCTGAGGTGATAACAGTATATTACACTTAGCAAGCAATTCACAAACTTCCATATAGAATCATCATTCATCATTTCTAACGATTCTCCATCATTAAGCTGAAATGTCATCCCCATTTCACAGATGAGGACTTGCCTAGGATTACCCAGCCAAGGCTCTAACCACATCTTGGAATCAAGAATTATTGACCTAAGACTGCCTGTATCTAATGGGCATGTTTCTAATCATCTGCCCTGTATGCTTGCTGAAATCAATCAATACCATTTAACAAATATATGTATCAAATATTTATTGATTGAGACACTGAGAGAGAATGCAAATGCCTATTCCTTTAATATACTGTATTTTCCTAGTCTTCAGTCCCATGGCCATTCTACAGGATAGAATACTAAAATAATATAAAATTCTCAGAGTATATCTCTGGCTTTTGACCAAAGGATTAATTTAAAGGGGAAAATAGTATGGCAGAATCCTACCAAGGGGACAGGGAATTGTTTCCTTGAATGTGCTCAGAACGATTCCTGGCCCTACCACAATTCTTTTAGTAACTGCAGTGGTATAGACTTCTGTTTAAATATGTTAATTGACATTATAGATTTCATCCAAGAGCCATATTTGACTGGAAACCACTAGGGGTTATTAGAAAACAGATTAAACCAGTTAGTTAACTAATTTATAAACAAGACTTTGGGAATTGCCTAATCTTACTCACAGGGAAGGTAGATTAAAGAAGCACAATTCTAGCCCATATTTTCCCCATGAAATAAAATACAATACTGGTTTTCAATTATTATAAACTTCTCTGATCTTACAGCAATGAAGTAGATTTGTGTTACCTTATGGTAGGGAATCTGCTGTGTTGTGGAAAAAGACTGTTTTTATACGTGTGGAGGCTTCTTTACAAGTTAGCACAGACCTGGCACAGAACACTGTCTGGGGATTACAACTGTTGTTTGAACCAAAAGCATCTGTCTTTGCAGAGATCTCTTGGGCTATAAGCTGGTAACTCTGTGGCCTTCCTGGGAAACCCTTTTTTTGTGAATTTCTATTGCCACAGGAAAGGCATAGAAACTCAAATTTCTCTCATTAAGCATAAGCCTGAAATAACATAAAATAGAAGCTCCACTCTTCTTTTTCTTAAGGAAACATAGGTGCTGGGTTTTCAAAGAAGGAAGTCAAGTTCTCTAATTTCCAGACTCGTCTAATAGGGGTCACATATATTTAATCTTTGAGTTCTTATTTTTTATTATCCTCACATTCTGGACATTTGTAAACCCTGTTATTTTTGTGTGTGTGTGCCTTGACTAAGGTTGTCAGATTTACCAAGTAAGAATACAAGACCCCCAGTTAAATCTGACTTCCAGATACAGATTTTTTTTTTTAGTTTCTCCTCTTATTCTTTTCTTTTAAAGCCCCAATTTATTCTGCAAGACTCTGAAGAGCTATAGCCATCATCTCTGCAGACTCCCTTTGGCCAGCCTAAATCTATTTATGTTCATTACCACAAGCCGCTGTCTGAGGCCCCATCAGTGTGAGGAGAGTAACATCTGGAAGGAAGAAACACCCAAAAACGACGAGAGAAAGAAGGTGCCTAAACATTGGCTGCACTGGTAGCTATGGTTTCTGAGCTAAAGCCTCAGACACAGATTCAAAGGGTCTCTAGAAGGAATGTTAGGGGCCACAGGGGGGAACCAATGCACTCCTTTATTTCACTTGCATTACATCTACACAAAATCCACCTTGAATGAGATACAAGGTGCTCTAATCTTGGATTAATTCAAAATTGTGGAATTAATGGAGTTTACCTTTTCTTTCTTACAAATTCCTCCATACAAGTGATTTGCAACCACGGCTGAACATTGGAATTTCCTGGATGGGAATTGCCTAAAAATACAATACTAGACCCTACTATCTATTCTGTTTTGATTGTTCGGGGTTGGGGTTCAATCATCTGTATTTTAAAAAGCTCCCTAAATGTTTCCAGTATGCAGACAGAATGGAGAGCTACTGCCAGCCAAATTTGCTTTTCAGTTTTCAGCATCTTGTTTAGAGATGTCTATCTTCCTTCCCAAAACCCTATAATTAATACTGTTACAAAGGCAGCAATGATGTCAATAATAACAGCATAACAGGTGCCTCATGGGCTACTGCCCACTAAAGTGAGGCAAGAGTACTATATTTCCTTAGAAATCATCCTTTCAGTTGCCTGGTCTGAGAAAATCCCATAATGAATATCCAGGGATAAGGCAGAATACATTTATTGTTGTTTTAAAGTAGAGTGTCGCAGGAAATATCTGATTAGTTTGTTAATTTCTGTCTGTAAGTATTTCTACTATTTGTAACATCTCCAAGTTTTCTATAATGTATAAAAGAAGAATTCACTAAAAGTTTAGGAAGGGAGGGAGAAAAATGAGGGAGGGAATAAAAGACACAGCAAGGGAAAAATGGACAGGAAGAAAGGTACAAGAAAGGCACGAGAAGAAACAAAAAAGAGGAAAGGATGGAGAAAGAATGTGAAAAAAGATATTAAGAAGAAATAAGGCAATTTTTCCCTTTTATTTATTCATAGTTGACTTTCTAGGGCATGCTTCTGATTCTAAATAAATAAAAGAAAAGCCAACTCAAGCAGTAAAGGGGCTCTACCTCAGTGGACGAAATTGATCTCTTTTCTACTCCTTCACCCAACTTTTTAAAAGAGTTATAGGGAAGAACTGGTGTTTAGTGTCACTAAGGTGACTTCCTGAAGGTCTTCAGCATGATTTCCGGTTCAACGGAATATCTATCCACTAGACATGTGCTAGCTCTGTCAAATGCCTAACTTCAAGCTTGGTAGACAATGTAACACATTATTCAGGATTTTTTTTTTATCATACTTTAAGTTTTAGGGTACAGGTGCACAATGTGCAGGTTTGTTACAAATGTATACATGTGCCATGTTGGTGTGCTGCACCCATTAACTCGTCATTTAACATTAGGTATATCTCTAATGCTATTCCTCCCCACTCCCCGCACCCCACAACAGGCCCCAGTGTGTGATGTTCCCCTTCCTGTGTCCATGAGTTCTCATTGTTCAATTCCCACCTATGAGTGAGAACATGCGGTGTTTGGTTTTTTGTCCTTGTGATAGTTTGCTGAGAATGATGGTTTCCAGCTTCATCCATGTCCCTACAAAGGACATGAACTCATCATTTTTTATGGCTGCATAGTAGTCCATGGTGTATATGTGCCACATTTTCTTAATCCAGTCTATCATTGTTGGACATTTGGGTTGGTTCCAAGTCTCTGCTATTGTGAATAGTGCCGCAATAAACATATGTGTGCATGTGTCTTTATAGCAACATGTTTTATAGTCCTTTGGGTATGTATCCAGTAATGGGATGGCTGGGTCAAATGGTATTTCTAGTTCTAGATCCCTGAGGAATCACCACACTGACTTCCACAGTGGCTGAACTAGTTTACAGTCCCACCAACAGTGTAAAAGTGTTCCTATTTCTCCACATCATCTCCAGCACCTGTTGTTTCCTGACTTTTTAATGATTGCCATTCTCACTGGTGTGAGATGGTATCTCATTGTGGTTTTGATTTGCATTTCTCTGTTGGCCAGTGATGATGAGCATTTTTTCATGTGTCTTTTGTCTGCATATATGTCTTCTTTTGAGAAGTGTCTGTTCATATCCTTTGCCCACTTGTTGATGGGGTTGTTTGTTTTTTCTTGCAAATTTGTTTGAGTTCATTGTAGATTCTGGATATTAGCCCTTTGTCAGATGAGTAGATTGCAAAAATTTTCTCCCATTCTGTAGGTTGCCTGTTCACTCTGATGGTAGTATCTTTTGCTGTGCAGAAGCTCTTTAGTTTAATTAGATCCCATTTGTCAATTTTGGCTTTTGTTGCCATTGCTTTTGGTGTTTTAGACATGAAGTCCTTGCCCATGCCTATGTCCTGAAGAGATATAGACCAATGGAACAGAACAGAGCCCTCAGAAATAATGCCGCATATCTACAACTATCTGATCTTTGACAAACCTGACAAAAACAAGAAATGGGGAAAGGATTTCCTATTTAATAAATGGTGCTGGGAAAACTGGCTAGCCATATGTAGAAAGCTGAAACTGGATCCCTTCCTTACACCTTACACAAAAATTAATTCAAGATGGATTAAAGACTTAAACGTTAGACCTAAAACCATAAAAACCTTAGAAGAAAACCTAGGCAATACCATTCAGGACATATTCAGGATTTTTTTAAACCAGTAAGTTTTTATGTCCCTTGTTGAAATTTTAACATCCCTTCCAAAGGCAGAGAGGTAAAATAGAACAATTTATACCATAACATAAAAAGATATAATGGCTATTGAAAATAATACGTTAGAAAAAGAATCATTTAAATGATTACATTAACAAAGCACAATTAGAGCTCGGTTGGTCTCTACCCTCCCCTATAGGTTCATAAGCCCGCAGATGAGGCTCTGAATTAAGAACCAGATGTGGCAAGACTATCCTAATTATGTTTTGTTCAACTTGGCCAGGAAATGGGTCAATTACCAAGGTTTTGGGTCAGATGTCATTTTGTCTTTTTATTAATTTTATTTTTGGCTCTTCTTTCAATATATAATGACTTTCAAAAACAGAAAGGGAAACCATTATAAAAACTTGGGTTGGAAACTCAAAAAACAAGGTTGAGAGAATCTGTTTCCTATTGAGGAACAATAACTGGCAGAGTGGAGAGGCAGATAAAAGGGTCCATCAGTGAGTTTCATGGATGATAAAATGTAATAAGTAGCTAAATTTAATTGTTGCTTAAGAAAATAACTACGAGCAAATTACCGTTTGCTCATTATAAATAAAGAACAAGTGTGTGTATATAAACACTTACACACGCTGACTAATATACGCAGACCAACTGGAAGCATTTGGAGAAATATATTTTAAAAACTGAGAAAGATTCAATAGCTCAGAAAAACACAGACCAAAACTCTACTCTTAGTTGCAAGTAAGTGTTCTTGCTGGTTCTTTATTTAAAAGTAAGTAGCAGGTTACAGCTTTAATAGTAGTTCAATGTATATAAATATATATTATAAAATGTGCAACATTTTTTAAAGAGAGTGTGAATTCAGCCATTTTAAACAAAATATTTTGTTGCTTTTATAAAGCCTTAAGTTACTATATCCTTCCAGTTATACTTACACATCACACACACACACACACACACACACACACAGACACACACACACAGAGAGCACAGCACACAGATTTCTAGGATGGGAAGATACTGTCCTGTTACAGTCAAGATTTAAGTGTCTTGAATAGAGAACAACAGAGAAGAAGCTGCCTTAACAGAATTCTATTTTAACAAGGCTTACTTCTGTCTGGGTATGCTACGTGTTACCTTAGTTCATTTGTAAAATATTCTCTACCTGGGGTCAGGCTGTATTAAAATAGACCAGAATTTCTTGATATAACTAGAACCTAGCAAACTCTGACATTTTTTTTAGAATACTTCAAATGTCACAAAACTTTTTGAAAAATATAAGTTTCTGCCAATTTCAGAAAAAAAATTAGTTTGTCTTTTGTTTAATATAAAAACCAGATAAAACTTACAGATATAAGTTGAGTGCTAACAATAAGATATTCTGGTAGCTTAAACTGCAAATTAAAAGAGAAATTCAGGCAGCACAAAAATGTAACAATGGAAAACCAAACCAAAATTTACACAATTTCTGTGAATCCATGCTCTGATGATTTCCCCCATCTACAGACTTTCAGCATGTCCTTCAAGACTTATGATGTAATAAGAATAAAGCAGGAAGATTAAGAACAAAAATTGTGCTGGAAAGAAATCTATGAGAAATGAATTTCAGGTTTTCTGGAGAGTTCTGATTGAATGACTGCACTATATTATTAGAGTAGTTTATTATATAATTCAAGACTATATAATTACATAATTTCCAAATTAACTGTCACCAATAAAAATGCAACAATGATGAAAATGGAAATGAATTAATTGCTATAAATTCAGATGAGTGGTTCCTATTATCCAGTGCATTCCTTCATATGCAATGGTCAAGGAGGTCATGTCTAAAGAGAATTTTGAAGTAGAACACATTATTTTACAAATAGCCACTAATGTTATAGCTATAACTAGTGATGGTGGACCCACAGTATCATTACTCTTCTCAAGGGATTAAAATAATGAAAGCTGATATTCTAATAAGGATCATTTCACAGACAACAATGTCTACTGTTTACTGTCACTTAATAGAAAAGTAGTTGGTGGGCTTAATCTATTTCTCTGTAGAATGGTAATTGACAGAAAGAAACCTTGGCAGTGGTAGCAGCTAATTATTAATAAGACCATGGAAAACTGAAACAGCAACACAACTTCAGTAATTGCTAGAGAGAGATAAATTCTCTTTCTCCAATCTACAATCTGACTTTGTAACAGTAACTTCATTGAAAATATTTCTGCAGGTCTCCAAACACACACACATACACACACACACCCCTACCTTCGTACTTTATTCACAGGTGATAGCAGCATGAACTTTGGATAGGGAAATTACAAGCAGGTGGAGAGGAACTATAGAAGATTTCACACTGTAGTAAGTGTCAAAAGTGTTTTAATTCAGGTGGGTGTACAGTAATTAATACACTTAGAGAAAAGTAATTCAAGCTCCTTCTGATAGACTAAAGCCATGTTATAACTCAGGAAAAGGGATAATAAATGTTGTAGATTATTCTCTACAGTGATCAGCCCAATGTGTTTTTAACTGAAGTAACAAGATCCAATAAAATAATTATTTGTATTTTTTGCTGTTCAAACCATTGTAGTTGTTACACCTATAGGGCTATACATAACTTTGATCACCAAAACACAAAACAGACAAGGGAAATGAAAGATAGGAAATGAGATAACATAAATGTACAAAACCCTGGAAAGATAGTGAGCCTTGCATGCCAACCGCCAGTTATCATCTCTCTGCAAAGGCCTTTACAGAGAATGGATTGAAGAGTTAGGTAGGAAGTCACCCCCTGATGAATCAACTCTGGCAAACACCAGAAGCGATCTATTGCAGGCATTCAGCCCTGATATCATGGCTCTTATGAACCTATATGGGAGACCATTTATAAAACTAAGTCTCTGTGTACTTAGGAAGAGACACAAGTGAAATTTATAAAAAAGGAAGACAACTAGGAAAAATGCAGAAATAGTTACTAAATCTTAGACATAGAGATCATAAAAGTTACCACTTTGGGCTAACATTTTTTAAAAGTTCTCTTTTTCTCAATGAGTGAAATATGTGCAATTGTAGCCTTTTAGATGTAACAGAACATTCAGATATTACTAGTTCAATATCTTATTTACAGATAAGAGTGATGGGTGGTGACAAAAAAAATGCTGCAACTGGAACCAAACTTCTAATTCTTGGTCTAGTGATTTTTCTAACAATCCACGTTGCCTCTTTTTATCCTAAAAACGTCATCAAGAGATAAAAACAAAAGTAGGTATAGAAATATCTCAAATTAATATATAGATGATAGATCTTAAATACATTGCTTAGAAGAGTAGGCTGTGGAAGTTGGTAAAAATCTACTATTTTTAGGTAAAGGATAACTGTCATGTATCATAAACCACATTTATACATTGCAGTGATACCAGACTATTAGACTTGGTATGTCATAAATCTGACATATTGCTTTCAAATCTTTCACCATAATTTCCTTTCTAACAATTTCTCTTCCTTCCTTTCTTTGGAGTGTTATCTCACTGAGCAGTCATCTACAGATATTGACAGTCATGTTTTATCTTTTTAGTGTTGCTGTGTGTTGGCTTCCAATCAATGACATAAATTATGCTGCTATTTATGTATAGTTAGAATGACTTAATTGCCCTATTAAATATCAACATTTTTATCTTTTCATTTTTAAGCTACCAATTTACAAGAATATTTGTAAGTGGCTGCCACTGTCTTAAATTTTAGAATAATTAACAGTGACTTTTCCAGATCTAAATATTTGATAGATACCTTAAGATTCCACACTTCCTAACTTACGTGGAAGCTAAGGGAAACAAGTTTTTGAGCACATATGAAAAGATAAATTGCAACAAAATAGAGTTCAAGGAGACTGGAGATGTGTCAGAGTGCACAACTGCAGAAGTCAATATTCAGTTGTTCTAACTAACCCTGAAGGTCTCAGAACCTACTATCATCCTGGTGTTAACATAGGTTTATGAGTATCTTCCTTTTGGTTTTCTCCTGATTTGGGGAACATTTGCTTCATCTTCAGTATCAGAACGTTTTCCTCTTCTCTTTTTCCCCGCCCCCTGTCTGAAGAGGTTCCATAGTCTGGACTGCAAGTCTCCCTTATATGTTTCTCAAATCCATTACTCCTTATGTCTGTAGCCCCTATATTTAGCTTTGGCTTGTAGAACACAGATAACTAAATCCTCTTCAAATTCCTAACACTCCTCTGCTCCACCCACCTTGACCTCTTCTGTCATGTAATGCATACATGGAACATGAAAGACATTCTTGCCACTTTATCCTCTTCCTCATGCCTGGTCATGTTATAAGAACAAATAATATTTCAAAAATAGGAGGAAGTTTCAGTACATGACCTTGACTCTCCTGCTCTGAGATTAAAACATTTAATTTGTGATATCATCACCAGCTTTAAATTCTATTCTTAATCTGTTGCCTTGAATTTATTCAACATTATACCTCTCATCTACAACAACTATAATGCCCATTGTAGATTTTTATTTTTATTTCAGTTACCACATACTGCTCTATATTGTTACCATAGCTCATGTATGTCACACTTGAAAATCCATTAAGGGTAGATTTTAGTTGACACTGCTGCACTGACAGTTATTAAAAAAATACTTATCTCCCCCCTCTAATTTCCTGCTATCTTAACCTTATATATGTCATTTTATTTTTTTCTAGAGAGTTCATAATCTACTCTGTCCTTTTTTTTTCTTTGAAGCCACTTCCCATTACATATTAAACCTATTATGCTTTTATTCTTTTTCATCAAAGTGCCTATCCAACTTCACATCCTCCAAGGAACCTTTCTTGTTAAGGAAGAAAGACAGGAATTTTATTACCCCAGATAGATACAACAAACTACTCTTTTGTGATAAAACATACACATAAACACAAACACACAACCCCCTCCCCACCAGTATGAATATAAGTGTAAATGTTTCTCTTTCTACATTCCTAGAATGGGGAGAGAAACATCCTCTATGATTCATAATATGCCACTCTAACAACATGAACATCTAATGCACAACACATAATGTCTCTGATGATAATAGAATAGCAAGTAACTTCTTAAACATAAAATGGTATTGTCAAGTCAAATACTCCTAAATCTAATCCATATTAAAAATATTTATAACCCTGAAATATATGGGTGTTTATCTAAGTAGAATCTCCAACTTTCAGGAAACTCATTTATTTCTTACGTTTTGCCTCTGCAGAGGAGGCAATTTGTTAGGAAAGTTTCTGCAGCTGCTGAGGCTGCCATACCATTGGTACTTTCCAGATAAAGAACTGCAGCCTCTAGGGCAGTCCAAATAGCACCCTCCTCCAATGTTAATCTCACTTCATTATCCCATTTTATAAAAGGTCACAACTCTTTTTATGTCACACTTTGGTTTGGGCACATTTTCTTACATTTAATTTGACACAATATAAGAAATACATGATTATTCAGAGAACTCTTTCAAGCCTGTCTCAAACAAGTATAATTTATTGTCTTAATTACTGAAGAATGGGAGAATGGGTGTGCATGAAACACACAATGTTTGTTCACACAAAGTGAACTATCACTTTGTTCTCCCGGAGTTTCTGATAGGTCTCCTTACATAGAACGTAGAGCAGAAAAAAGGGGGCCCTAAATAGTATTAGAATTTAAAAGTTTCAAAAATATGTCAGATATCCAAAGAAGGAGGCATAACCAATGTCTTATGAATCTATGAAGCGAGACGTGCTAAGTTCACAGACATCTTCTGAGCAGCTGCCACATGTGAGGAACATAAAGAAGTAAAACATGCTTGTTCACAAAAAAGCATACAGCCTAGTTCAGACCGTGAATAATCATAAGAAAGATAACACTATTCAACATGCAGTCTTCAAAATGTTTTACCTGTTTTAATGGATTTAATCCTCACAGAATCCTAATTATGTTGGTATGTACTGCTCTTATCCCAATTTTACCTGTGAGGAAACTGAGGCAGGTTGAGACAATAATTCGCTGACAGTCACATGTATAGATAGTACTGAAGACAAAATTCAGACCTAGAGAGATGGGCTCTGGAGCCAATATTATTAATCACTACAATGATTGGGGTTCCAAAGGATGCTGCACTCTGGGTTTCATAGTTTGGACTGGTATAGTTAGCGCATGTAGAACAGTGTACTAATGAGAATATGTAAAAGTCAATGTTATATAAGTTCTATTGTGTTTGGCTCATTATCTCACTGTTGGGAACTTTGCTAAAGTAGAGTAGGCATCCACCTTTTGGGAGGAGTTAAGCAATTCTACCTTTTGCCTGCTACTACTCCCATAGGAAGATCTTTTGAACCCATGTTTGATATATTTCCATTGATAGCTCATTTGTTTGCATTAAAACTAGCAATCCTGTCCTTAGGTGTTTCTTTCTAAAATAGGTGTGTTATAGTACTGAACTAGTTAACGCATATGCCCTCTTGCTCATAAGTGCAATAGCCCAGAAAAGGCAATCATTACATATTTGTTAAATGAATAAAAACAGAAATGCGACAAGAAAGTATGTATAGAATAGATATCACCTCTACTAGATTAGTAAATAAATGTATGAAAGAGACATATCTGGTTTACATTTATACGCTAAGGACCATCATATTCCATCATCTTACATAGGTGGAAATGCTGAAAAAAGACGATTTCACTATATAAAGGGACTTTTCCTAAAGAAGGCAAATCTGGAAATGGTATGATGGTGGGGGCATAGAATACTGGATGAAAACCGTAGACCCGCACCAAAAGTATGGGTGCAAGAGGACAGCAACAGCCTAGAGTAAACCAAAGCAAAGCCAAAGGCAAAGTATTACTAGTAAAAGACAATTCATATTAGTCCACTGATTCTAGGTAACCTCTCGACTCCGTAGTCCTGGATGATCTTCAACTGCATTCCAGTTTTACTTCCTGTACTTGACTAACCCCAATCTCAGTGTTCCCCAGACAGCCATCTGAAGAAAGTACCTGTTATGAACCCTATCGCCTTGAATGCCACATGGGATTTTGGGCACTGTTGCGTAGATGACAGACAGGATGTGGATACCCTTTGTTCAACTGGCAGACAGGATGCGGATACTGTTTGTTCAACTGGTTAGACCAAGAGACAAATCAGGCATAAGTCTTAATTACTACATATATCTGCGTTTATTTCTAGGGACATAGATTATAATGCTAACTGATCATTTAGAATACATGCTTGAAGCTTTTCCTATACTCAAGCTGGCAAGTTCAGTTATGTTTGTACATTATTTGGCCCCACTTCATGTGTCTCACCTTCAAATATGTGCCCCTGTTTTGCTCTCTGTGTAGAATCAATATGGCTACTTCCTACATTAGTTTCAACTCTGTTTGGAGATATATAATTTCCCTCTCTTTAGAAACTTTGATTAGCATGACGGTTGTAGAAGGCTGTACCTCTTTATGTAGGATAATTATGATGCCACATATTCTCTATTCCTTTTATCTTGTACGTTAGCAGTCTCTATAGTACATATGGAAACTCACTTTGTGTCGCAGCACCAGAGAATGAAGGCATGGTTGCCGAGTAAGTGAAGAATAAAAGTGTGTTGTTCATCTGCAAATATGTGCCCTACCCTCCAATGTTTAACTGAAATTTCCTGTGTTCGTTTTGGATAGTCTCCCAGAAAGAGCACTGCATTTGTTTTTCAGACCAATCTATCGACCCTTTCATTGTCTCTTCTAACTCATTTCCCGCAACTGTAACAGAGACAGTCAGTTCCTCTAAGAACTGAGGATTCCCAACCTTAGAGTTTTTCACTAGCCATTTTATTTTACTGCTGAATAAATATTGGTTCTGGTATTTTATACTCCTTCACTAAATTATAAAAATTTATATTCCTCTCCAGGGATTATAAATATTCTTAATAGGTCTGAAGGCATAGGTGGGTCCAATGATTGCATTTGTTAGCCAAAAATCCTGTATATTCATTGTTTAAATATAAAAAATTAAATATTTGCAGATAAATAAATCACTGAAAAGAACAGAAGATAGTTTGTAAATTAAATCAGAGAATACCAAGTATGCAACAGAACCTAAGTTATTATGTGTAAAGGTACAAAAATAGCCATTTTAGGTAGTGGTTCTGAAATTTATTTATACATCAAAATCACCTGACAGGCTATACAAAGTTACAGATTCTTGGATCCCATCCTTAGGTACACTGATTCTGAAATTCAGTGGGAAGTAATAAGAAATCTCCCTTTTAAAGGGCATGTGATGTAATTCTAATGCAGAATTGTGTTTAGCAATCACTACTCTAAAGAAGTTTTGTGATTCTCTGATTTGCCTGTGGAATATCTGTAGCAGGGAGCATAAAGCTTCCCAGATAGAGTGGGGAAGAACAAAATTCTAAGAAGCTACAGATTACCTGCAAAGAACTGGTTTCCAAGGAAAGGGGAGGTAAAGCCAAAATGAGAGAAAAGATTTTCTCAGATTACATTTGGGCACAAAGGAATTTTTCTTAAAATGCAATTTCCTGGCTTACATTAAGAGTGTCCTATAAAGTTAAGAGACATTCATAAAGGCTTATATTCCAACTGAAGATATTAGTCACTGACTGTGGCGTATTGTGCTATGACTGGAAGAGCTGAGTAAGCAATCATTGAGAAGGAAGGGCTGCCATGGAAGATCTGCTGTTATCAAAATATAAGCCATTCAGCAGCAGAATATTGAGGAAATGCTTTGCAAAGCCTTAGAGTGTCACTTCAAAACATAATCCTAAACCAGGTCCCTGGGATCAGTCAAATCTTGTTGAAATAGGCTGTCAACAAGGGAATATTTGTTTGCTGTTAGAATGTTCTCATTGCTAAAATTCTCAATTTTTTACCCAAAGCCTTCATTTACATTATGCAATCCATAATGTGTAAGAAATGAAAAAAAATAATCTCAAGACTCCAAAGATCCTAAACAAGAGGAAGAACCATTATTAGTTGAAGAGCTAATCCTACACAAAATAACAAATATGAGCCTTCTACAATCATTAGGAAAAAAATGGGAAGTCAGTAACGATGTGATTACTCAACAAGTAGTTGTACCCAGAAGCAAATATGTTTAAGAGACATTTCAAATGGGACAAAGTTATTCTGTCACTAAGAGGAGCCATTCAAACCTGGGTATCAAGATAATCTGAAACTATAAGTTTGAAGAAGTTACTGTACAGGGAAGAAATTTTGAAAAATCAGGACTTTGCTACTCTGACATTGATTTATACCCTTCAAATAAAAAATACTCCATTAATTACCCAATAGAACACAGCCAAATAAAAGCCTCATGAAATGTTGCTTGAAATAATCATGAAGAGTAGCAACAACTGAGAAATTTGGGAGAAATTTCTTTGCTTCTTTGAGCATGTCAAGGGGAGAAAAATAATCATTTGTTTCTGTACTTGTCATTAAGAACTATAGACAGTAGTTAAGTTTTAATAAGTAAGTAGTTAACATTTATGCAATGATTCATTTCTGTTAAAATATGCATCAACTGCTCCTTTATTACTTATCATTGTCTTCACAACAGAAAATGAGGCTGAGTGGCCAGAATTGCCATTGTTTTTTAAATATTACTTTGATTTTCACTACCCAGATCTTAAATAAACAATTATTTTCTGCATAGGAAAAATCATGATGATGAATTAACATTGGCCTTGCCTACTTGCACACTCCACATGAACTAAGCTTCAAATATCAGCTTCTGTACTTAGAAAAACACAGAGTACAGTGTGTTGGTTGGGACTGAGAGGATCATAATAATGAAAACAAACGGTCTGATCACTCCAGTTTTTTTTTTTGCCACTGCCTATTCACAGATATTTGTAAGATGGCCAATTTGTATCTCCTGACTTTCTGTTTTATTTTCAATATGACCATGCTAAGTTACTCAAATACGTTACTAAAAATGAAAGAGGATTACTAAATAACATTGTGAAATTCAGGATTGTTTTTTATTTAATTTTTTTGAGGTGTCAAGAAATTAAGGTCTTCACCTTTTCTATATTATTTGCTTAATTGATAGGAGTTCATAGGTTTTTATTTGGGATTGTAATTTACCTACTGTTGCTAATGCTAAATATTTACATGGCATGTTCAAGTTTTTTATTTTACCTGGCTCAATAACATAGTACAATACTTTGAGCATCATCATATTATGATGTGATATCACTGGGAATTTAAGCCAAGATCTGTAGATGTGTCAAAACGTATGTGAAGGTGTTCAGTGTGGACTGCATCCTGACACTGTGAGCCATATGCCTGCCTGGTAGAAACAACCCTCGATTAGAATCCAGACGGACTGCATTTAAAGCATGGTTTGTATTTTACAGGGGATTTGGACAAGTCACTTAACCTCTCTATATTTAAGTTCCCTCATGTGAAAAAGGGAGATGATAATGCCTACATCAGAGACTTGCTATGAGGATTAAGTGAAAGTGTTTTGTAAACCATCAATGGCCATATAAATACAAGGAATTTTTATTTAGTAAGGCATTAGGGTAAATGTATTTTTAGTTAATTATGAAACTCCCTGTTTCCCAGATACAGGTATATATTTTACTACCCCAACAATATCTTTTCTGGGAAAACTAGGTCTTGGGAAGAAATCAGTTGATAGAGTCCCTTAACTCAAGAACTAGTGGCAATAACCCCTCTTCAGCTCCTGAGGACAAATAGGTCCATGTTTCATTTTCCCCTCTGACACAACACAGCCTTTTCAACTCTCAGATGAATTTCCCAGAAAGTGTGCCAGAATCTTAGAACACAACTGCTAAAGACATGAAGCAATTAAATATGTAAATCAAGGAAATTACACTGCACTGATGACATTCAGCACTGTGTCTGCCCCCACCTTCTCCTCCTTTTCCTCTCTGCTTCTATTCCCATCAGGACTGAGGCTAGAGTGAGAGCTCCTTCTTCCACTCTGCTCCGTGCTAAATGTTTTTTATTCTCAACCACCTGCCCCAGGCCTTCTCATCAATTATTAATCAAGTTCTATGAATATGTATAAAAGCCTGTTACTGGGTTTTATTAAATTAAAAAATATATATAAGAACATTTTCTGTGCCATGATAGATAAATTATTATATGGTTGAAGAGAAAAGGAAGAAGAAATAATAAGTGTGGCTTTTTGTTTTCATTCCACTGATGATGGCACAAACATATTGAGACCACTGATTATGCAGGTTTTTTTGTTTCAAGTTTAATATCAAATGTGTCTCTAAGTTCATATTTTTAAAGGTTTACATTCTGGACAATGGACTATTCTGGAATCTGCTTTCATTTGATAGACAGGATTCTTTGTGACTGAGAGGGCATAATGTTGGCTAGGGAGTGACTGGACAGGTTACTTTGATATCACTCTAGAAATAAGCCTTCTTACTTTCATGTGCTTCTCTCTCATTCCAAAACTGTCACCAACCGCATGATGCCCTGAGGCAGGTAGGTGATGGGGTAAATTCATGAGCCCTGGAGCCCTGTCTACTCTGTGAGGTCATTGGCTCAAATCACTAATGATTTTCACTTCCCAATTTTCTACTTTAGGTGAACCTTCCTTTCCAAAGAGAAACAATGTCTCCTCTCATGTACTATGAAGAAGGATATGTCTGTGAACAGTATTATGGCTTTTATCTTATCAGATAGGCCTTCCCTGATCACCTTCTCTCATGTGGCACACCCTTAACCTGCTGTTCTTTATATGATATTATACTTACCCATCCTGACATACATAAGGATTTGTTTAATGCATCTTATTTCCTGTACCTTCTCTACCATGAATGTAAGGTTAATAAGAGCAGGAATTTTGCCTTCTTTATCCAATGCCACACAAAAATTGTTTTAAATAGATAAATGAATACAAACTATAAAGATACCATTAAAAAATTATTCTCCTACTAGTAACATGAGCTTCGGGGACAAACAACTTCTGTGTCCTAGCAAACTAATTAACTATGATAGGACCAGTGAAATTATCACCACCTCACCCAATGTTCCTTTACTCCCACTCCCTGTGTCCTATAAGTGGCTTTACTGTACATGGACAGGTGATCCTGGTGCACATGAGCTCTCAATCCATATCTCAATAGTTAAGAAATTATGTGTCCTAATAAAAGGGTACTTAAAAATGGGATTTTATTTTGTTTTGCTTGTTGCTTATTTGTTCTTACCCATGTAATAGTCATACATTTATATAATATAAATTTATTTAGTCAAAAGTGTAGGTAAAAAAAATAGTTGTGGTTTGTATTATCTGTGGTTTTGGTCATGTGGCTTGAATAAAGATTTAAGCCATATGACACCTTCCTCCCACACATCTTCCTGTCTTCCTGCCTCTCATGTCTTGGTATCTCAGCCACTTAGCATTTCTAAGCCTCAGATATTGTTTCCATACATAAATTAAAGTGTCCAGATTAGATGAACTTCAAGGATTAATCAACAACAAAATCTAACTCTATGGAAGCAACCCAGGAAGAAAACAGAATTTTAAAATTATTTTCTTGCTCACAACTCTCAGTTTTTGTTTGTTGTTATTAAAGTTAATGTCAAATCAATACTTACATTTTTTGTTTGGAATATTCTGCTTTATTGCACTATTTATTCTTCATTCTAAAGAATTTTAAATTTAACCTCCAGAATAGTGTATTCGCCTAATGTGTTATTAAAAAATCTAATTTTATAGAGTGCCATTTAAACAGAAATGCCAATTTTCAGTAATAAGGGTCACTATAACAATGTTTAATGCCTCAGTGACTTTTTATCAGCTAAAATCCCCTTTAAACATATACGCTTCCTTTATTTCAAATTCAAGAATGAATCATTACACTTTGATGAGCATTCCATCACATCAGACGTAGTAGTTAAATTTTCTTGTTCAACAGTCTCATTAATTTATCACTGCTTTCCTGGCCTCCCCTGATGTACTCATTCAGTAGCGGCCATTGTGAAAACAAACAGCGATGGATACAAAGCTCTAAGTTAGGTGCTGTTCAGTCTTGGAAGTTGTACAACCTCTCATGGGGTCGACAGTATAGAAAAATAAGTAGGATCTGCAGAAAAATCACTATACTATGAAATAGAATGTTCCAGTGCCACATGAGAGGTGCAAAGGAAGTACTATCATAGAGCTAGGAAAGTAGAAATCCCTTCTGCCCAGAGTGATTGGGAAGGTATCAAAGAGAAGGTCTGAGAGAATGGGGAAAGATATAAAAACGTATAACCATAGGCCAGGCCAGCTGAAGCACAGCTGTATTCATGTTGTCTTGGATGATATGAATGGGAGGGATGAGGAAGGCAGATGAGAAAGCTTCCCACACATCTTCCTGTCTTTCTGCCTCTCGTATCTACCATAAGTGGTCAAAAATGTTAAGAGATTAAGAATATTGAGAAGGTGATGGAGAGAGAGAGGAAGTGAGATCATTTGGATAAGAGAGTGAAGTCGTAAATATTCTCTCCCATGGTTTAAAGAGGGTCTGAATTAGGCCCTAGAGACTGAATTTGTCCCAGATCTCCTAGGAAGAGCACTATAGTCCTCCAAAGAACAATTCCACAGTCTCCTAAGCCCAAGATTAACTACTGCATAGATCAGAAAGCTTATGCAATAGAAAGTTTTCTTAGAGCAAATTGCGAATACATTTAAAAGAAAATCTTGCTTCCTCTACATGACCTTTGACTCAATCCACTGTTGTATGTGTGTTTGGATGTGTGTATGTCTGTAAAATAATTCTACTTCACAGCTACACATGTATATAAACCCACATTTCAGGCAGTAGATAGCTTTAGGTAATGGGAATATTTTTAATAAATCAAATTTATGAATAAATCATTGCCAATTCCTTGGGGATTACTGTGTGCACATGGAACTGGTCTGACCCCTGAGTGTGAGATTTGTCATCAGCAGTGGAAATGGGCCTGAAAGCAGGAAGGCAGCATAGCCTTACAGAGCACAATGAGAAATGAGGCAAAAGGGCTTCGAACATGCAGTTGCCCAAAGCAGTCAAGAGAGATGATTTTTCAATCTGACATAATGGAAGTCCCTAGAGAGATCCATTTTTCATTCTGACATGACTAAGATAATAAGTCAAAAGTTAAAATACATAGTATAAGGCCCAACACAAAGAAAACGATTTCTATTTTGGAAATGGCAAAGTACACCCTGATATGTATTGGGTTAAATGGACATTCTTTTTCTGAGAGAAGCAGCCCGGTGACTGTAGCTCAAAAAAATAATTTTTAAGAGTAGAAGTCATCAAAAAGGAACAAGCAAAAAAGTGCTATAAGAAGTTTGATTCTTTGTGGATACTTGGAGATAATCCTTCCCTTTGTGAAATATGTTCAATTAAAAAAAAAGATGATTGAAGAAATTCAACAAACAAAAATCTTTGTGGTGATATAAGAAGACCTTTATTTTATTATTTATTTATTTATTTATTTTGAGATGCAGTCTTGCTCTGTAGCCCATGCTGGAGTGCAGTGGCATGATCTCCGCTCACTGCAAACTCCACTACCCAAGTTCAAGCTATTGTCAGTCTCCCCCGAGTAGCTGGGATTACAGGTGCTCACCACCAAGCCTAGCTAATTTTTGTATTTTTAGTAGAGATGGGGTTTCATCATGTTGGCTAGGCTGGTCTCAAACTCCTGACCTCAAGTGATCTGCCTGTCTTGGCCTCCCAAAGTGCTGGGATTACAGCTGTTCACACAGTTCCATGTGCACACAGTAATCCCCAAGCAATGTGCAATGATTAATTCATAAATTTGATTTACTAATCAAATTTGGGCTGGGAAGAACTTTATTTTAAGGTTAGGCTTTACATTTCATGATCTTTTTGCTAGCCAACAGATGAGAGAATTGTAAGTGATATCAATTTATTAAAGTCATAGTAGACCAAGTTCAGGATAATTTAATTTTTTTTTTTTTTTTTTTTTTTTGAGACGGAGTCTCGCTCTGTCGCCCAGGCCGGACTGCGGACTGCAGTGGCGCAATCTCGGCTCACTGCAAGCTCCGCTTCCCGGGTTCACGCCATTCTCCTGCCTCAGCCTCCCGAGTAGCTGGGACTACAGGCGCCCGCCACCGCGCCCGGCTAATTTTTTGTATTTTTAGTAGAGACGGGGTTTCACCTTGTTAGCCAGGATGGTCTCGATCTCCTGACCTCATGATCCACCCGCCTCGGCCTCCCAAAGTGCTGGGATTACAGGCGTGAGCCACCGCGCCCGGCCAGGATAATTTAATTTTGATACTTATGAACCAAATATAGAACAAACAAAATTTGGTATAATAAAATGCAATAATAAGTCATGAGAAATGTAATTTTATATTATTTATTTTATTGAGACCACTATAGAAATAAAGGTGGGAATTGGAAGAGTATTATGAATATCATGACTAAAGGGAGATTTTAAAAGAATTCTTTAAAAAGCTGACACAGTAAAGCCCTGGACTACATTCTTATCTGAGATGTTTGGATCTGAGCCAGATTAATGAACATTATTCTGGATGATGACATAACCTGTCCTACTACACATAATGGCTTTGGGGTTATTGGGTTCACCTCTTAGCTAAATTGATCTTAGTGTGGTAATAAAATAAAGGTTGCCTAAAATTTCTATAAAAAACTCAAATTATTATAAATCTTTAAATTCCCAATTGATCTGACAGGAAGGAGTCAACATAACCATCTATGAGTAGCTTCCCAAATCAGCACCTGTTGCAGACATTTTTGAGTTTTTACTTTTTCTCTGGGACTCAGCTTAGATCACAGTGACAATCTTATAGTCCCCTCCTACATGTAACTTGTGGAACAAAGTTCCTCGGTTGAGGGTTTAACAAGACATCAGATAGATAAGAACAGATATTTCCTGTTGCATATTAACTTGAGAATCCTCTACATATACTTTGAAACTCTCTTCAAGAACATGCATAATATTCACCAAGCACATCTTCCATTATACTACAACATGATTTCTTTAGACTATTTAAAATTATTAATTCTGACTCATTTTTTAATAGGATTTGTTTATTTCTACCTCTCTGTTTCTGCATCTGCTTATCTGTAACCTTTGTGGGATTTATTTTTCTCCTTTCTGTGACATCAGGCCTCTCTTCCACTCAGAACACAATTTAAGTTCAGGTCAACAAGGAAGTCTTAGCCTGCTTAACTCATCTACTACTCCAGCTGTTTTTCATTTTTATCTTCTCAACTCTTCATCATTTTGGTAAAACACAAATTTGTATGGGATTTTGTGTGTGCTTAAGTTATTTTGTGTGTGTGTGTGTATTAAACACCCTATAGATCCCCTTCTTTTTGTATCATCCATGTGTTCTACAAGTCTATGGCTACTCAATATCTAATTGAATGAAGACAGATAGAAACACCACACTTCCGCTTTTATACCACTCTTTAGAAACTTACAGTCATCTCTATTATTATTATATTTGCCTAAGAATGAAATTTCTATTGATATTTTGTTGATCAATTATTCAGTCAGCCCTCTATTGCAGACTTTTTTTTATGAACCCAGAAGCTATAGAGTTTGTCCCAGGCTCAGCATCACAGAGGTCATATACTTTCCCTCCATTATTTTACTCTGCTACCATTAGACTTCTAGTTAACACAAAAAATCTCTCCTGAGATCCAGTATTGACTACAATGATCTTCTGTATCCTTAGGGTCTTTCTGAGATGAAAGGTCAGGGAGAATTAAAACAGGTGGATGTATCCAGGATCGGAGACTGGAATGGGTTAGAACTGAGGGAAGAAGTGCCTCCCTCTGCCACCCATCCATACATGGAGGGATATTCTCGTGTAGTCAGTGATGTGAAGGTGAAATCCTGGCAGAGTTTGTGTCCTATTTACCTTGACAAAGGGCAGAAAAATAAAGATTCGTCTCTACTGTGATCAAGAGAAAATCCCCTCTTTTCTACCCTGTGAGTTACTCCCACTTATTAAAAAAAAAAAAAAACACATAATAGGTACCCAATATGTCCCAGAATCTATACCCTACAATGTAAACAGCAAATGTCCTCATTGCCCTCAGGATGAATGTAAGGATTGCATGGAAGGGTGCTGTGATACTCTGGATTTCAGTGTGGCCTCAGTCAAGTGTGAATGGCCATCCTTGCCACTATTCCTCCACCCTGCAGACATGCTGGTGAAAGATGTTCATTTTGTAAAAAGTCTGCAAAGCTTCAGAACAACACTACAGGCACTTAAATAATATTTATTTTTTATTTGAAATTGTGACAACAAAAATGAGTGATAACATTTTCTGATAGCTAGCAGATACTTCCACTGTTAGTGGTAAAAAAAAGTGTTATTTTCTGTTGGGGCAGTGGTAAGCATGTAGACCACAAAGTTTGAGGTCTAGAAGGAAACTGAATATAAATCTCCTTATAGATGGAAAAATGAAGGCCCTGAAAGACAGTGATTTACCCAAGGTCAAAAGAATGGTTAGTGATAGAGTTCTTTTTGGCCTCTGTGTTGCTGCTCCCCAGCCCAGTGTTCTTTCACTAAAATAACCACTGTCTTTTTGAATATTTATTGCAGGCCAGACATACTGCTTTATGTATATTACCTAGATAATTCTTCTCCCCACAAAAGATAGGAAAATAGAGACCATTACTGTTTTTTAAAGATGTGGAAACTGAGAGTTTGAAAGATGAAACTTGCTTAAGGTTACATATCATTTAAAAGCCCAAAGCAGAATTTGATTTGAGGTCAACAGACCCCAAAGCCCTAAATTCGTGAAACTAGGTTACCTGCTCTGTATCAGCCTATTGAGTTTTGGCTTTTTGAGTACAATCAACAAGTCTTGAAAGAGGCATCATAGACTGACATTTTAACATAGTTGTCTAGGAAAAAATTACAGGACAGTTTAGCTATAAGAAAAATAGGATGTCTCTAATTCCTTTCTCACTAAAGGAGCTATGTGGATGCTAATGTTATGGACTTTGTATATTGTTTCCTCACAGTCATTTAGTATGTTTTACTGTGGCAGGTAAGGAGTTCTTAACTCTCTCTGCATCTAAAATATTCTACATACAGAAGAGTGAACAAAACTACAATAGTGAAGCCATGCACATTTTCTAAAATCATTCAATAATCCTTTGCTCTTAATACAATTTGTTGCAAATTAGGCTTTACAACTTTTCCCTCTGAGTGACTCTAACTCACTAGTGTCAGGTTGGCATGTAAGTATTATGTGCCTGTGTGTGTATGTGTCATTTTGAGCATGTCTAAAAGGTGACCTTGAATTTGATATTCTTTAAAATATATTATTTTGAAGTTGCTTGGTTTTGCTCTTTTGGTCCAAGTCTGCATATTCTCCCAATAAGCATTTAATTTATGTTCTAGAGGAATAATTTTTTTCTGGCACTTCTCACTTATCCCTCAAGATTCTCACAACCCTTCCTGATTCTACATGGTTCTTCCTCTCATACAATAAAACCCACAACTTTGTTTTGCAGACACCACTAACTCTTCAGATCCATGAGTCATTTTTGGGTCCTAATCCCACCTTGGAAAATATTACCATAAGGCTTTGGCTCAGAGGGTCATTGTGTCTTTTAAACTGTTTTTTTTTTTTTTTTTTCAAGACAGGGTCTCACTTTTGAACTATTTTACCAGGCAGCTATTTCCAAAGACCTTGTGTGTCTGCAAATCATTTTTCAGATGCTCTCATTTGTCATAGAAGTCACTTTATTCTTATTGTAGGCTTGCTTTCAGATACTTTCTTATTTCTCTGTAATGTCATTCTATCGAATTCTCAAAAATACACAATGACCCACTGGAAAATAATAGTGCTAACTCAAACCGCTCTCTGCCACTCACCATCTTTCCTATCTACCTTAAGTTGCTTTATTTATGGAATACTCTGTCATTAGCTTTCAGGGCTTTTAAGATATGACAACCCTTTGAAAAAGATTTTACATTCAGCAATTTCTATCATTCTCATACAAAAGTGGGAAGTGACTGTGGAGATATTGAGGCAGAATGGGCCAGTGACAAAACAAGTAGATTCTGGAGTCAGACCAACTCCTGGTGCAAGTACATTAGCCATTAGACTGTAAAGCAAAAACAAAATTCTAAGCCCCCCAACTGACTGGATAGGCCCCTACTGTCAGTCAAGGGATTCCAAAGAAACCTGAAAAACTAGTTCAGGCCATGATGGGAAGAGGAGGTTGGACATGCCTTATTATACTTTCCTCCCTTTGGAATTTAGGCACAACTGACTACCATTAACATTAAAACTGAGATCATAAGACTGACAAAACAGACTCTTTGTAGCAATAAGATACCAAATTCTAACCTGACTCTAGTATAACATTACATGACAGAGTAGGCCCTGAAAGAAATAAAAAGATTTTACTGCAAAAAATATTTATTTGACCTGCAAAGCCATCTCTTGTGGGGAAAATTTACACTGTGTAGACAATCCCCATCTCTTTCCAGGTCTTTTTCTAATCCTGAAGAGATTAGCTTAGGGTCTAGCATGGTTTAAAGGTCTGAACAGGAAACATTTGCCATCTGTTTTCTCTAAGGGTGGCCACCTACAAGATGTCATCTACATGATAGGAACCTTGGTCTCTACAACCCCTTATCTTAAACCAGATACCCTTTCTGTCCCATCTATTGCCTCTAAGGGTGGCTACCTATGAGACTTCATCTACATAATAGGAACTTTGGTCTCTACAACCTCTTATCTTAATCCAGACACTCCTTTCCACTGATTCCAGGTCTTTAAATAATAACTTAACTCTTTCAATCAATTGCCAATCAGAAAATCTTTAAATCCCCCTATGACTTGTAAACCCCTTGCTACAACTCGCCCCACCTTTCTGGACCAAACCAATGTATGCCTTACATGTATTGATTGATATCTATGTCTTCCTAAAACATACAAAACCAAGCTGTAACCCAACCACCTGATACGCCTGAGCACATGTTCTCAGGGCCTCTTGAGGTTCTGTCATGGGTCATAGTCCTCACATTTGGCTCAGAATAAATCTCTTCACATTCTTTAGAGTTTGGCTTTTTTCATCAATAAGACCTTGGACCATTTAGCTAACCTCTCAGAATTTCACTATCTGTAAAATGAGAAGAATATCTTCACTTCCTATAGTTCTTGGGATAATAATGTGCACAAACCACCAGCAGCTCTTGTCCCATATGAACTCTCAGTTCATCATTAATAGCCTGTTTTTCTAATTCAGATAACATTTGAAAAATGTGCAAACTATTGTTGCATGTGACTATAGTTCATTCATATTGACTGCTAGCTATATACTATAGTTTATTCTTCAGCTCTCAATATAATAGGAAACTTGGATGTTTCTAGATTTTTAATTATGATGAACACTCATATACACACACACACACACACACACACACACATATCTGTATGTACATATGCATGAATTCTCTTAGTTACTTGGAGGTTGGGTTATTGAGTCATCAGGTATGTAAATGTTCAATTTTACAATATAAAGCTGACTTCTTTTTTGAAGTGGTTACACTAGTTCAAATGCCCAATGACAATATCTAAAAGATCTAATAGATCATATCCAGTACGTGATGTTATCAAACTCTCAAATGTTTGCCATTTGAATAGGTTTAAAGTGGCATATATTATCATGGTCTTCAATTGCATTTCTTCAATCATTAATATTTAATATATTTATTTTCCATAGCATTTCCTCTTTTGTGAAATGCTGTTGTGTTTCATTTTAACCCAGTTTTTCTTTTAATGATATGCCTTGTGTGGCAGATGTCTAAAAATTTGACTATTTTTGGCATAGCACTTTGAAATCTGGGAGTTTATTTTATGGAGAAAAATTTTCAAAGAAGCATTATGAAGGCATTCACTGAAACTGTGTTTGTAATAACAAAATGCAGTAAATAGGCTAAATGTGAAATAAATGAAAATTATTTAAATATTTTATGCAAATAAAGAGGAATACTGACATATAATACATTCAATTATAATGGTGGTTATATATATGGAGCCAAAGAAAGATGCTCACAATATGATCCTAAGAGAAAAAAAAAAGCTGGTAATTAATAGGTTTTGTCTCTGAATAAATGAATTTAAAGTGGCATTTTAAAAAATCTATTTTTGTTATTTTACTAAACTAAATTTAATTATGAAGACATTGAAGATAAATCTATACTATAGATTTTTAAAGACAGAAAAATCTTAGATAATTTATCTAAAGGCACATAGCTAATGATAAGTAGAACAGCAGGGTTTAGAACCCAAACATCCCCAGAGTACCGGACTCTAAGCATTTATCTTTTATTCAGTTCGCTGGGGTCCTGCTTCAAGAATGTTGGTATCTGTGTCCTGATCAATTGTTAACCTTTGAAATGGTGGTAAGAGTGGCCTCTTCCTGCTTGTCAGTGATAACTGGATGTATGGGCAAGAAGGAATATCATGGAATGATAATAAATTAGGGGTTAGGGTGGATGAGAAGCAATCTATTACTGTGCATATACTTAATCTAAAATGAAGGGTTAATGTACAGCCAATCTAGGAAAAGGGACTCTTTCTTGCAGTCCTCAGATATTTTCTGATATAAAGAAAGATTTGATATTAGCATAATTATAAAGGTCATTGCTCCATATGGTATTTTTTAGTAGTCTGATTAGTAAGACTATCATTAACCTAGTATTTGGATCACATGACTGGGTGTAAAACAACCACTGGAATAATAAACATCCAGGTGCTTTAATTTCAATGTCATTAAATTAAATTTTACTGTTTTTTACTATTTTTTCGTTATTTATTCTCATCAGTCTCTATTCTTCATGTCCTCCTCCTTTCTCTTAATTGTACATAAAATTCTAACTTTGGTTTAAAATATTCCCCTGATAACTCCTGATTAAAACACAATAAAGGCCATTTAAGGGTGAGCAGAATGTAAAGGTGACTAGGTAACCAAAGGAGCATTAATCTATCCTCAGTTAAAACTGTTAAGCCTATTGAAAACAATTTCTCAAACCTAGCAGAACCTTGGATTACAGAATAGTAAGGGCAAGAGGAGTCAAAGTTTATTTTTAAGCCAGGACCTAAATATTGTCTGAGTCAAGGTAGACCCAAGGAGTTGAAGGGACATAAAGGGAAGACAGCTGGAATGTCATGCAGAGTGTAGAATTTAAATACCGACAACTACTATGAGCTCTTCCTATGGTCCCAATTTTCCTATTATTATTTCTATATCTTCTTAGTTTATCTCCTTAATTTTAGCAGTGGCAATGGCCGGAACCCTCATGGCTTCTGCCACTGCTGCTGCATATAAACTAAATATTTGGTCTTTTTCTAATACATACACAACAATTGTCTATTCATAAATAACTGAGGACAAAGTAGGATGCATCCTTATAGACTCTATTTAATAAAAAATATGTTAAAAACATGTAGCTCTTATAAGCCATGTAGAAAGTATCTAGAAGACTTCAAAAGCATTGTGTTTTCACAGGCCTAAATATTTGTCGACAACTAATTCCTTACTAAATTGTCCTTGGTTTTTCTTGCTAGAATTGAATGACTTAAGCACATTTGTTGCTTACTTTTATCAAGATCTTTTAATGATTAACTAAGTCTTCTCCTCATCACTGAAAAACCCCAAGCCCATCTATCTATCTTTGCCTATAATTGCCCATGTTTAGAGCAAACCCTCAGCAACCTGTTTACTATATTCATGAGCTCAAAGGACTGACCACTTTTAGGTCAGACTAATTTTGTGTTTTAAAATGAGACTGTCCTGCTGGGATATCAAAAAATGTTAGTGAAGGGAAGAAGGATAGCAGAAAGATGGCAGAAATAGGAAGCCCCAACCTTCGTTCTTCCACGGACTTAACAGCAATATATAAACCAAAATGCCTCCATGAAGACTCTAGAAGCCAGTTAAGAAGTCTCAGTACCCAAATGAGCACAAGGCCAAGAACAGCTACATTAAGATGTATAAGAAAAAGTCATTTTATTCTACCTATGATTGCCCCTCCTCCAAACTGGCACAGTTTGGCATGATTGAGAAAAAGTACCCAATTTTCAGCCCCTCCAGGTGGAAACAGAATAGTAGAACATGCATTCAGTGTTTTGGTTTTATGGGGAGCTGAGTGAGGGAGTAATTTCTGTCTTCTCTGACTCAGGGTGCTGATGGAAATGCCATACTTTGGATGCCTGAGTGCTGCTGAAAACCTTTGATATGGAAGAGTGACCTCTTCCTGTATATCAGTGATAACTGGATGTATGGGCAAAAAACAATCATAGAATGATAATAAATTAGGGAGTGGGTAGATGAGAAGTAGTTTTGCTGTAACTGTTCATGTCCTTACTCTAAAATGAAGAGTTCATGTACAGCTAATCTAGGGAAACCTGAAGAACCGCAGACAGACACCAGAGGAAGCAAAAGATTATGAGCTCCTGAAAAAGAAAATGGCAAACATCTCTCATTGGATAGGAGATAAAGTAGATGTTAAGTCGGAAACTGTCACAGATGCAGAGAAGGGCATTACATAATGACAAAAAGACCAATTAACCAAGAAGATATAACAATCATAAATATATATACACCAACATCAACATCAGACACCCATATATATTGACCAAACATTCACAAAATTGAAGGGAAAAATAGAGAGTAACATGGTAATAGTAAGAGATTTCAATACTTCACTTTCAATAATAGATAAAACAACCAGTAAGAAGAAACATAAAAGAAAGGAAAGGAATTGAGCAGCACTGTAGACCAATTGGATCCAACAAACACATACAGAGCACTCCAGCCAACAACAGTAGAATACACATTTTCCTTAAGAGCACACAGAACACTATCAGGATAGATCACATTAGGACAAAAACGTGTCTTAAGAAATGTAGGATTAAGTTAGATTAAAATCATTCCAACTATATTTTATAATCACAATGGAATACAAACACAATAGAGTACCATTCAGCCATAAAAAGAATGAGATCCAGTCATTTGCAACAACATGGATGGAATTGGAGATCATTACATTAAATGAAATGAGCCAGGCACAGAAAGACAGACATCACATGTTCTCATTTATTTGTGGGATCTAAAAATCAAAACAATTGAATTCATAGACATAGAGAATAGAAGGATGGTTATCAGAGTCTGGGAAGCATAGTGGGGAGCTGTGGTGGGTGGAGTGGGAATGGTTAATGGGTACAAAAAGTAGAAAGAATGAATAAGACTTACTCTTTGATAGCACAACAGGGTGACTGTAATCAATAATAACTTTACTGTACATTTTTAAATAACTTAGAGTGTAACTGTAACTGAACTGTTTGTAACTGAAAGGATACAGGCTTGCAGGGATGGATATCTCATCCTCCATATATATATATATATATATAAAATATATATGTATATATATACATATGTATATGTATATATATACACACATATAGTAGATATATATGTATCTACTATGTATGCACAAAAAAATAGAAATTAAAATTTTTTAAAAAATGAATAGCAAAAGCAAAACTGGAAAATCCATAAATATGTAGAAACTAGACAATATGCTCTTGAACAGTTAATGGATGAAAGACAAAGTCATGAAGAAAATTAGAAAATATCTTGAGACTAATGAAAACAAAAACATAACATACTAACACTCCTGGGATGCAGCAAAAGTAGTACTAAGAGAGACATTTAGAGCAGTAAACACCTACCTTAAATAGGCAGAAGGATCTCAAATCAACAATGTAAATTTACACCTCTAGAAAGTAGGTAAAGAAGGACAGACTAAACCAAAAGTTAGCAAAAGGAAGGAAATAATAAATATGAGAGCAGAAAGCAACAAAATAGAGAACAGAAGAATAGAAAACATCAATGAAATTAAAAGTTAGTGTTCTTAAATCAACAAAATTGACAAACTTTTAATGAAACTAATTTTATTTTATTTTTGAGATAGAGTCTTGTTCTGTCACCCAAGCCGGAGTGCAGTAGCACCATCTTGGCTCACTGCAACTTCTGCCTCCCGGGTTCTGGCAATTCTCCTGCCTCAACCTCTCAAGTAGCTGGGACTACAGGTGCACGCCACCACTTCCAGCTAATTTTTGTGTTTTTAGTAGAGACAGGGTTTTACGATGTTGGCCAGGCTGGTCTCAAACTCCTGACCTCAAGTGATCCACCTGCCTCAGCCTCCCAAAATGTTGGAATTACAGGCATGAGCCACTGCACCTGGCTTAAACTAACTTTAAAAATATAGAGAGAAGATGTAACAAAAATCAGAAATTACAAAAAAAATCACAACTGGTGCCAAATAAGTAAAAAAGAGAAAAGAGTACTGTGAATATATGCCAACAATGTGGATAACCTGTAAATAATGGATAAATTCCTAGAAACAAAGTGGAAAACCTGAACCAACCTATATTAAGTAAGGAGGTTGAATCAGTAATCAAAATCTCCCAATGAGAAAATGTTCAGGCCCAGATGGCTTCCCTGGATAACTCTACCAAACATGATAAACTATTAATTCATTAACTCATTAATTCATTCCATGGATATATTGTTCTATTCATAAGGCAGAGTCCTCATGATTCTATCACCTCTTAAAGGCCTACGTCTTGATACTGCCACACGGGGGATTAAGTTTCAACATGAGGTTTGGAGAGGACATCCAATCTATAGCAGAGGCCAAAGATTTGTACCCTGAAAACTACAAAATTCTAAAACCAATTAAATAATACACAAATGAATGAAAAGACATTTTGTGATCATGGATTGGAAGACTTAATATTGCTAAAATGTCCATACTACTCAAGGTAATCTACAGATTCAATGAAATTTCTATCAAAATCTCAATGGCATTTTTGTTTTGCTAAAATAGAAGAATACACCCTAAAATTTATATGGAATCTCAAATGAATTCAAGTAGCTAAAAATAAAAATATCCTAAGAAAGAATAAAGCTGGAAGTCTCACACTTGCTGATATATAAAAAAAAGACTACGAAAGAAGAAAGATGGAGTTCTCACACTTGCTGATATCAAAATATATTACAAAGCTTCAGTAATCAAAACAGTATGGTACTTGCATAAAGACAGACATACAGACTGATACAGAATAGAGAACCAATAAATAAATCCACACATTTAAAGTCAATTGATATTCTATAAAGGCATCAGAAAGACACAACAGGAAAACGGTAGTGTCTTCAATAAATGGTACAAGGAAACTAGATATTCATAAGAAAAATCCAAACATAAGACCTGAAACCACAAAACTTCTAAAAGAAAACATAAAGGAAAGTTTTATAACGTTGGATAAGGCAATGATTTTTTGGATATGACACCAACAGCACAGGCAACAAAAGCAAAACTAGACAAATTTTAAAATATCAAACTTAAAACTTCCTGTGCAGCACAGAAAGAAAAATATTTCATGATCTCACTTACATGTGGAATCTAAAAAAATAAATAAATATACAAAGATAAATAACAAAATTTTGGCTACCAGGGACAGGGTGGGAAGGTGCAAAATGAGGAGAGGTAATCCAGAGAATACAAGGTAGCAGATATGTAGGATGAATAATTCTAAGATCTAATGTACAACATGAAAATATAGGTAATAAAATTGTACTGTATATGAGATTCACACTAAATTAGTAGATTTTAGATATTCTCGCCACAAAAACAGACAAAAAGAAATGGATAACTATGTGAGATGATGGATATGTTAATTTGCTTCATTATGGTAACCTTTTTACTATTCATATGTATCCCATAACATCATGCCATATACCTTAAATATCCATAATGAGAATTTTTAAAAAAATACTTCTATGTAGCAGAGGATATAATCAACAGACAGAAAAGGCAACCTACAGATTGGGAGAAATTATTTGTGAACTATATACCTCATAAGGGGTTAATATCCAAATTAAATAAAGAACAACTGTAACTGTTGGTAAGTATGTAAAATGGTGCAGCTGTTATGGAAAACAGTATGTAGGTTCCTGAAGATATTAAAGCTAGAAATACCATATGACCTAGCAATTCCACTTTTTGGTATATATCAAAAAAACCTGAAAGTAGAATCTTGAAGAGATATTTGCACCTTCATGTTTACTGCAGCATTACTCATAACAGCCAAGAGATGGAAGCAACCTAATTGTCCATCAATGTATGAACAGATAAAGAAAATGTGATATATACATACAATGTAATATTATTCTGCCCTAAGAAAGAAGGAAATCATGTTTTCTGCTACAACATGGATGAAACTTGGGGACATTATATTAGGTGAATTAAGCCAGTCACAAAAATAACTACATAATTACCCTTATATCAGGTATCTAAAGTAGTCAAACTCACAGTGACAGAAAATAGAATGTGGGCACTAGTGGGTAGGGGAAAGGTAGCAATGAGTAGTTATTTTTAATGTCTACAGGGCTTCAGTTTGCAAGGTAAAAAGTTTCTAGAGATCTGTTGCACAACAATGTGCATATAGTTAATATTACAGTATTCTACACTGAAAAGTGGTTAAGATAGTAATTTTATGAGTTTTTCAACATAATAAAAAATGTTATAGGAGAAGAATGTTAGCATAGTGATTATGAGCAAAAGTTTTGGATTCTGATAAACATGGCTTAAGTTTGGATACAGTCTCATACTAGCCATAGGGCCCACAAGTCACTTAACCTCGTAGCCAGGCTTCCTATTTGGCAAAATGGGGATAATAACTGTTCCTACCTTTACTATTATAATTTTTTTAGATAAGTGTGAAACATTGAGCTCAGTGCTAGGCACTTGGCAAGCACTCAATCAACAGCAGTTAAATGGTGTGATGAGTATTCCAGGAAGATGGAGTATAAATGAAGGACTGGGGATGAAGACTGGTGAGTTCCTGACAGCTTTGGGGTTGGTGGAAATGATGAGTAAGTGAATATTTGAAGACTTGTTACATTCACATTATTGTTGAGCCCAGACCTTAGGATGAACACCTCAAGCTAACATCAGATCCAGAGCCCAGGAGTACTGCCCAAAGCTATCTACATGTTACTATCCATGGTGCTGAATTATCTTGGGACTATGCCCTCTTGACTTTTTCATAAACATCACAGAACCTGATCATTCTATTCCAAAATGCAATTTACAAAAGTTCATAACCTATTTTTAGAAACAAACGGAAAAATGATGCTTACAGAAATCCCATTTTTGTTCCCATATATCATCTGTAAAATTTATTTCTGTGGAAAAACATAACCCAGTGCACTAAAGTTAGGAGAGTGAAACAATAAAGATATTTATCGTGATCCAATTAATACTGGTTATGAGAAGGTAAGTACATGAATAGATCTACTCATATCCTCATAATCAATTAGCCTTCTTAATAAGGCAGACGTGTTTTTCAGAGAAATCAGAAATCAAATCAGAGTTTGTATTGGTATCTTAGGAAAAAGCATTTCAAGAATAAATCTTCCAAAAGGCACACACTTTCTCAGTTCTACTGATAAAACAAAAACAAGGATATGTAAAGAGGCTTTGCTGCTCCCTTACAAACTCTCCCAGTTTATACTCCCAAAGGAAATAAAGTCTGCCTTATTTCTTTGCCCACCTGCGGTGAACTTTAATGTTTGTCTATATGTATTGAAGAACCTTAAGTTCATTTCCCCCTGGGATGAATTCAGCATATGGTCTGTTCCTAAGGCAAACATTTATTTAAACTTTAAATCTAAAAGGAATTCTTTCATTTTATTTCTAGTTTTGTTTCCTTTGATCCTGAAAGTAATTAACTTTCACTGGCAGCTAATTATAAGTGAAGAGAAATCAGAGTCTATATGGTCGTTTGTTTGGTGCAGTCCTGGCAAAATGTTTTCTAATTGGAAAGTCTCTTTGCTCAATGCATTCCAATCCATTTTGCACTGTATTTATTATCCAGGATTCATATTATAACCATGACCTTTCATCTAATCACAGAATCTCACACAGAGAAAAAATAATTATTTTAACAAAGAGCCACCGTGGCTATAAAAAGTGAGAGAGGCTGGGAGGGAGTAGAATATGACAGGAGAAGAACCACATCCAAAATCTCTTCCTGCTCTTCACTATCACAGTCCCATGACAACCCCCTTGTACTGAAAAACATATACCCCACATTTGGATTAGGAAATTATCTTCTTCAAACTTATACAGAAATCAGCTCCTGAAAAATAATACAGAAAAGAAGAGAGCCATAGGTAAAAATAATTGAGGTCAGAGGTGCTGCTTACTGTTCCGTGTTAATACTAATCATCAGAAGCATGGAAAAATTTGAAAGTTAATGAACCGCCAGTCAAATGACCCTTACCATAACTCCCATTTCCCTGAAAATGACCCTTGCAAGAACTGACAAATCTTTTTGTCATCAATTTTTTCCTTTTCAAAAGAAAAACCAGGCATTTAAAAAAATATATTCATTGTCTGTTTGAAATAAATATGTTACAAGGATTTAAAAAAAACACACTGAATACAATGAGGGAATTTAAACTGTATTTTGGAAAGAGGACTCTAAACATCTTTGCCTTTCTAAACAACTCCTTAACCAACCAAAAACAATCAGCATTACAGGAAAGCAACACTCTTAAACAGAGATAAATCTTGACCTGACTGCTCTTCTTGTATGACATCTTTTCATACTGCTACTGTTAAGAACTGGTGTGATAAAGATAATCTAAGGGGCATATTATCCACCATCTTCTACAAATTTGCATCAAATTAGAGCATCAGAAAACAATATGCCCATACCTCATTAGCTTGCATCCATGCAGAATAACACCTGTGAGTTATTTCTATAGATCTGGCTTAATCTAGAGTCAATGCATATGATGGTAATCTCCCACATCTTACAAAATTATTGGTAAAAGCAATAATTTCCATATTTTTAAATAACCAACATAAAAATTTCCTTCCAAGTAGAGTACATACAATTTTGCTTCTTCGGAAGAATTGAAATAATATAAACTTCCTGATCCATTGCATTTGCTTTTTCTCTTTTTTTTTTTTCTTTCTTTTTGAGACAGAGTCTTACTTTGTTGCCCATGCTGGAGTTCAGTGGTGCAGTCTCGTCTCACTGCAACCTCCGCCTCTTGGGTTCAAGAGATTCTCCTGCCTCAGCCTCGCGAGTAGCTGGGCTTACAGGCACCCACCACCATGCCTGGCTAATTTTTTTATTTTTAATGGAGACGAGGTTTCGCCATGTTGGCCAGGCTGTTTTGAACTCCTCACCTCAGGTGATCTGCCCGCCTCAGCCTCTCAAAATGCTGGGCTTACAGGTGTGAGCCACCAGGGCCCCCCAGCCACATTTGCTTTTATTGTGCTGCTGCTAGGAAGCGCAGGGTAAAGACATTATTCAATCACAATGACTAAGTGAGCCTAGATAAATTGTATATTTACCCAAGCTCTTCTAGATGAATTTAATTTTTTGAGTTGTATTTTAATAGGTTTTGTTGTGTAGATTTAATTCCCCATTTTGTGAGAAACTATACTGTAAAACAATCTTTAATATTCATTACTGGCTTGAGAATTTAATAAAATGAAAATGTTTTCTACTTTTACTTGGAATTTCATAGGTGCATCTTTAAAGATACTGACACCACTCTACCTCCACTTTTAAGGAATTCATTAAAGTGCTGATCATTAGCTGAAAGTATGATAAAGAGGTGAAAAGTTTTGCACATGTTGCAAGTGAGAAAATGTCACACTAATGAGGCAAACATCATACATTATAAGCCCCTATGTGGGCTACTCCATTATTGAGTTTAGATGGTTAGCGACCTTGTGAATTAGGCCAATTAATGCCTAAAGGTTACGTAAGATAGTCTTGATGAATAAGAAAACATCCTTTCATACTGCTGGGAAACTAAACAAAAGCATATGCCTTTATTGGGCATCGCTAATACTAACTTCACATTCCATGATTTCTACTTACTTTCATTTTGTGGAAGTACAAGAAACTGTTACATAGCAAGTCCTTATATCTCTCAAAACAATCTCTTCCCTTGAAAATGTCTGCAGCACTTTCTCAATTCCACTCAGTCCTCTTCTATTTCTATCTTTCCTTAACCATCTGGAGAAGTCAATCCTAGACATCATGGGATGGTGTTCTGGGATTTATATTATTGCAGATATTTATAGAAAGCCTAATTGATGAGCCTCTTTGTTCTTATCTTCTGTAGCCTCACTCGTAATAAACCGTTAAGAAAACAGAAATTGCAGACCAGACAAGACACAGCCTTTCCAGCCTTGGTAAGACGTATTTTCTAGAAGAGTGCCGTTTTTCTCCACAATAGAACTTTAAAAGTAGATCCATCATTTAATGTTAGGAATCTGTCAAGCATGAATTTTTAGCCTCCATCAAAATTTTCAATAATTAATTCCATGGGTTTGGGAACCTACATATTCCCTTCTCAACTATGTGGAAAAAAATTACCTCTGAAATTTGATAAACATTTCTATGTGCAGTTTATTAATATTAATAAATTTTATAAAGTTTAAACATTTCTTCATCTTTATAGAATGATAGTATCATTTTAAAGCTTATTCTTGTATGAATGTTAATCTGGCTCATTTACAAATTCCCTTCAGTTGGATTTCTTGCTCAAGAGAATTTGTATGAAAGATGGTGCTGATATCCACCAGATTTTGTTCTTATTTTTATTGATTGTTTACTTGTTTTGCATAATGATAGGTTATGTGCAGAATAGTTCAGGTTCTTTTTCTTAGGTTTTTTTTTTTGCCATGTACATGTCCAGTTGAAATATACATGCTCACTTTTATGTAGTCCATCCTCTTCTATATTGAGCTAAACGTGAGTTCATACTGCTGTCTTCAATTCTGATCCATTACCACAAAGGTCATTATAACCCCCTCCTCCTTATTTTCTCACCCTTTCAATGAGTTTGTTTCATACATTTATAATATACTTAGAATATCTTTTCACATTCTGTATTCCATCCTGGAATTTTCCAACCTTCTAAAGGACATTTTTTAAAAAACCTTAAAAAAGAAGCTTCACTTTTTGTGTTGTAAAACACTGTAGGTTTTGATAAATGCTTAATGTCTTCTGTCCATGATTACAGTATTGCATAGAATAGTTTTTACCCTAAAAAATTCCCTGCACTTCATCTATTCAACCCTCCTCTGCCCTACTACTCCAGCTTCTGGTATCCACTAATTTGTTTCCTATAGTTTTGCCATTTCCAGAATGTCATATAGTTGAAATCATATAGTATATAGCCCTTTCAGATAGCTTCTTTCACTTAACAATTTTCATGTAAGATTTATTCATTTCTCTGTCTCTCTCTCTCTCTCTCTCTCTCTGTCTGTGTGTGTGTGTGTGTGTGTGTGTGTGTGAGAGAGAGAGAGAGAGAGACTTGACAGCTCATTTATTTTAATCACTGAATAATGTTGTAGGTCTGGATATACCACAGTTTTTATCCATTCTCCTTTAAAGAATATTCTGGTTGCTTTCAGTTTTTGGAAACTATGAATAAAGCTACTATAAATACTCACATGCAGGTTTCATATGGTCATAAATTTTTTAATCAGTTGGGTAGTACCTAGGAGAGTGATCAGGCCCATGTGGTATGACTCTGTTTAGTTTTTTAAGAAACTTGTCTTCCAAAGTGGTTGTATCATTGCGAATTTCTATCAGCAGTGAATGAGAGTTCCTGTTGTTCCATGTCCTCAACAATATTTAATATTGACAAATTTTTGTCTTTTAGCCATTTTAAAAGGTATAATATGTACCTATTAAATTAAATATTTAATTAAATATTTGGTATCTCATTGTCATTTTAATTTGCAACTCTCTCTTGACAAATTATGTTGAGCATCGTTTCACATTATTTTCCCCCTGCATATTTCATTTGGTGAGGCATCTGTTTTATGGTGTATTTTTTTCATTTTTAAATTGAGTTGTTTTCTTATCATTGAGTGTTATTTGTATATTTTGAATACAATTCCTTCAACAGGAATGTGTTTCACAAATGCTTTCTCCCAGTCTGTGACTTCCATTTTAAATTTTTTAACAGTGTATTATTTAAAGCATGTTTTATTTTAATATATAACCATTTAATATAAAAATAACAATTCTTTCATGGATCATTCTATTGATGTATTTAAATACACAAGGTGATATATATTTTAGCCTATGTTTATAATAATGTTTTATATTTTTATTACTTTACATTCAAATCTATGATGCATTTTGAAGAAAAAGGTTCAGCTTTTCACCACTAAGTATGATGTTAGTTGTAGGTTTTATGTAAGTGTTCTTTTTCAAATTGAGAAAGTTCCCCTTTATTCCTACTTCACTGAGAGTTTTTGTCATAAAAGAATATTGAATTTTTTAAGTGTTTTTTCTGTGTCTATTGACATAATGATATGAACGTTCCTTTTTCATCTGCAGTGAATTATATTGATTTTTCAATGTTGAACTAGTATTGGCATATCTGAAATAAACCTCACTTGGTAATTATACTTGGTTGAATAGTGTCCCCACAAAATTCATGTTCACTTAGGATCTCAGAATGTGTACTTATTTGGAAATAGGAACTTTGCAAATGTAATCAAGTTAAGATAAGATCATACTGAATTAGGGTGACCCTGAAATCCAGTGACTCTCCTTCTAAGGAGAGAAATATTTGAAAACACACACAAAAGGAAGAAGGCTATGTCACAGCACAGGCAGCATTCTGGCTCTGTTCTAGAGTAAGGCAGCTGCAAGCCAAGGAATGCCAATGATTGTTGACAAACACCAAAATCTAAAGAAAGGCAAGGAAAATTTCTTTCCTAGAGGTTTCAGAGGGAACATGTCCCTCGTGACATCATGGCTTCTATTCTCGGAAACTGTGGGAGAATAAATTTTTATTGTTTTAAGCCACTCAGTATTTAATAATTTTTAAAGGCAGTCTTAAGAAACTAATACATTTCTGGTGTATAATTCCTTTATACATTGTTGGATTCAATTTGCTAATATTTTGTTGAGGATTTTGCATCTATATTCATGATATATATTGGCCTGTAGTTTTTCTTACTTGTAATGTCCGTATATGGTTTTAGTATTAGAATAATGCTGATCTCATAGAATGAGCTAGGAAGTGTTCCCCCTTTTCTATTTACTAGAAAGAGATTGTGGAGAATTGGTATAATTTCTCCCTTAAATATTTGGGAAAATTCACCAGTGAAACCATCTGGTCATGATGACTTCATTATTGGAAAGTTATTAATTATTAATTCAATTCATTTAATAGATAAAGGACACTTCAAGTCATTTTTTCTCCTTGTGTGAGTTTTAGTAGTTCATAGCTTTCAAAGACTTGGCCCATTTCATCTAAATTGCCAAATTTGGGGGCATAGAGTTGCTCATAGTATTTGTTTATTGCCTTTTCTAATGCCCATAGGATCAGCAATGATGACTTCTTTTTTATTCCTGGTATCAGTAATTTGTATTTTTATATATATATATTATATATATAACATATATATATATAATATATACATATATGTGTTATATATAATATATACATATATATGTTATATATAACATATATATAATATATACATATATATGTATATATTATATATGTATATATGTTATATATACATATATTATATATGTATAATATGTTATATATATTATGTATATGTTATACATATATGTACATATATGTACATAACATATATGTTATGTATATGTTATATATATTATATATGTTATATATATAATATATATGTAATATACACATAAAAACACACATATATACACATAAATATATATCTTTTTGGTTAGCATGGTTAGAGGCTTATCAAATTTATTAAGCTTTTAAAAGAAACAGCTTTAGATTTCACTGATTTTCTTACTGTTTTCCTGTTTCTGATTTTATTGATTTCTGTTCTAATACATATTGATGTTCTAGACATATTGATATCTTTTATTCTGCTTGCTTTAGGTTTAAATTACAAATTTTTCCCCAGTTTTCTAAAGTGGAAACTTAAAGTATTGATTTTAGATCTTTCTTGTTTTTTAATACAGTCATTTAATTCTATAAATATCCTTCTTAGTGAATATCACAAACTTTCATAATTTATATTTTCATATAAATTGAATTCAATTGTTTTTAAAATTTCTCTTGAGATCACCTCTTTAGATTATGTGTTATTTCAAAGTTTGTTGTTTAATTTCCAAATGTATGGGGATTTTCAATTAATTTTAGTTCAATTCCATTATGATCCAAGAACATACTTTATTTGATTTCTATTATTTTGCATTTGTTAAGGTGTATTTTATCACCCAAAATGTGATTTATGTTGGTGAATGTTCCATGTGAACTAGAGGAGTGTGATTATTCTATTGTTGAATGAACTAGTCAACAAATATTAATGAGATCAAGTTGATTTTTAGTGTTGTTTAGGTCAACTATATTCTTTCTCACTTTCTTCCTGCTTGATCTATTAATTACTGTCAGGGAATGTTGAAATCTTCAACTCTATTCGTGGATTTGTGTGTTTTTCCTTTCAGTTCTATCAGTTTTGGTCTTGTGTATTTTTATGTGTTGTTTCTGCCTGCATACATATTTAGGCTTGATATTTCTTCTTGGAGAATTGACCCGTTTGCCATTATTATTAATGATATACTCCTTTATTACTAGTAATTTGTCTCCTTCCAAAGTCTGGTTTGTCTGAAATTAATATGGCTACTCCAGTTTCCTTTCAATGAATGCTAGCATGGTTGCTTTATCTATCCCTTTATTTTTAACCTATTAGAAACTTTATTTTTAAAGTGGGATTTTGTAGACAACATACAGTTGGGTCTTATTTGTTTGTCTACTCTGAAAATATCTGTCTTTTAATTGGTTTATACAGACCATTGACATTTCAAGTAATTATTGATATATTTGTTTTCTGTTTTGTTTTGTTTTTGTTGCTGTCGTTGTTGTTTTTGGTGGGGAGGGACAGGGTCTCGCTCTGTTACTAACCTAGAGTGCCATGGTGCAAACATGGCTCACTGTAATCTTGACCTGGGCTCAAGCAATCCTTCTGCCTTAGCCTCCCACGTAGCTGGGACAAGAGACATGTGCCACCACACTCAGCTGTTTTTTTTTCATTTTTATTATTATTTCATTATTATTATGATTATTATTTTGTAGAGACAGGGTCCCACTTTGTTGCCCAGGCTGTGCTTGAAATCCTGGGCATAAGCGATCCTCCCACCTTGGCCTCCCAAAGCGTTGAGATTACAGGCATGAGGCACCATGGCCAGCCAATTATTGATGCATTTGGATTAATATGAACTATTCTTGTAATTGTTTTCATTTATTGCCAGATAATTTTTCCCTCGTGATACCTCTGGTTTTAATTTCAGTTATACTTAAAAAAAAAAAAGATTTTTAGTGGTTTCCCTAGAGTTTACAACATACATTTCTAACTACTTTAATTTTACCTTCAAACAACATTATTCTGCTTATAGCTCCAGTTCCTCCTTCTCATCTTTTGTGACACTGCTATCATACATTTCACTTATCCATATGCTATAATCACCCAATACATTATTAGTATTATTACTTTAAGCAGTTATCCATATGCTATAATCCATACGCTATAATCCATATGCTATAATCACCCAACATATTATTAGTATTATTACTTTAAAGTTACCTTTTAGATCAATTAAAATAAGAAAAAATAAATAATTTCATTTTGTCTTCATTTATTCCTTCTCTAATGTTCTTCTTTTCTTTATGTCTATCCAAGTTTCTAACCTACATCCTTTTTGTTCTGCCTGAAGAAAATCTTTTAGCATTTCTTGTAAAGAACTGGCAATGAATTTTCTGTTTTTGTTTGTTTGAAAAAATAGGCCAGGCATGGTGGCTTATACCTGTAATTCCAGCAACTGAAGCCAAGGTTGGAGGATTGCTTGAGCCAGGAGTTCAAGACCAGCCTGGGTAACATAGGGAGACCCCATCTCTACAAAATATTTTTTTTAAAAGGTTAGCTGGGCATGGTGGCATGTGAAGATTGCTTGAGATCTGGGAGGTCAAGGCTTCAGTGAGCCATGACTGTGCCACTGCATTCCAGTGTGGGCAAAAGAAGGAGACTCTGTCTCAAAAGAAAAAAAAAAAAACAAAAAAACCAAAAAAAAAAACAAGGAAAAGTATGTACTTTCTTTCACTTTTAATGAATATTTTCACTGGATATAGAATTCTAGGTTGATGTTCTTTTCTTTCAATATTTTAGATATTTCCCTCTGTGATCTTATTTGCATGGTGTCTGATTAGAAATGTACTGTAATTCTTATGCTTGTTCCTTATAATTTGTATATGTTGTTTTATCTTTCTCTGTATTATTTCAATATTTTCTCTTTTCTTTGATTTTATGAAGTTTAAATATGCTAGGCCTCAGGGTTGATTTTAGAAATTTATTCTGCCTGGGGTTCTCTGGGCTTCTGGATCTGTGGTTTGGTGTCTATGATAAATTTTTGAAAGCTCTTAGTCATTATTACTTTAAATATTTCTTCTGCTTCATTCATGCTTTCTTATCCCTCCAGTTGTCCAATTGCATGTATTTTTTATACTGTCCCATAGTCTTGGATGTTCTGTTGTGTTGTTTTGTTTTATTTTATTTTCCCATCCTTTTCTTTACATTTCTCTTTGGAAATCCTCAAGCTCTCTAAATCTTTCCTCAGTCACACAAGTCTACTAATGTGTTCATCAAAAATATTCTTCATTTCTCTCCCAGTGTTTTTTATTTCTAGTATTTCCTTTTGATTCTTTTTCAGAATTGCAGTCTCTCTGATTACATTACCTATATGTTCTTGGATTTTGCCTGCTTTCTCCATTAGCTACCTTAACATATTAATCACAATTATTTAAAACTCTCTGCACAATTATTTCAACACATATGTCATATATAACTCTGGTTCTGAAACTTGCTTTGTCTTGTTAGGCTGTGTTTTTTTTCTTGATCTTTGCATACCTTGTAATTTGTTTGTTGAAAGCCAGACACATTGCACAATAGAGATTGATGTAAACAGGTCTCTAGTGTGAGTATTGATGTTAATCTGGCTAGGAGTTGAGATTTTTTTAATGTTTTCTATAGCTGTAGGATCCAGAGGTTTCAAATTCCTCTGATGACCTTGTTTTTGTTTTCCCTTTTGATTTTGGGCTTACTAAAATTAATATTCCTCCTCAGAAAGTTTGTGTCTCATAGCTCTTCTGGCGTAATTACTATAACTCATTATTAGAATGCCATAGCCTCTTGGTGTGGTGGTGAGGTGGGGAATGGGGCACATCCCATAGTCTCAGTCTTTTAGAAGGCCGTATTTCTGCCCTATGACTTACACAAGTGTTTCTTCCTGTATAGCTTCTTCTCCACTCCGCCTTACATATGGAGAGGACTGTAGTGAGAGGAATAATTTCCCCTCACACCTTTGGGATAAAACTCTGGTAGTCTTCCTACTCTAGAGGAAGCCATTTTTATGGAGAAGGCTTCGGGGTCATTTCTCAAGGATTACTCTTTTCCTCCCCCTACCAGAGCCACAAAGGGGGTCTTTCTTAACTCTTTATTGTGAGAATCTGGCGGTTTGCTGGGGTAAATTCTGTGAAAGACAGAGTGTCTTCCTAAGACTACAGCCCCTAGGACTTTCTCACTGTGGTAGTAATGCACATTCAACCTCTAGAAATTTGTCAAAATTCCCATTTAATTGTTCCTATCAGTTAATGGCTGCAGTGGCTTCTGCTCCACGTAAACAGATCTCAATTATATCTCTCTGGATTCTCCTGTCTTTCCAATTGTTGGAGTGGAAATTTATCCTGCAAACTCAGTTTTCTAATCCGTCCAAGAAAAGTCATTGATTTTCATTTTGTCCAGCTTTGTTTTGTTGTTAAAATAATGGAAGTGACCATTTCCAAGCTCCTTGTACGTTGAAGCTATAACTGGAATTTAAGCTAGGATTTTTAAACATCTAATTTTACTACATGCTTATGTGCCAGTGGCTTTGAAAGGGATACTTGAAGAGATACATGTCCAATTCAAGTCTGTCTCTCAGGAAGTTTTGTTACTTTCTAGAGCATATTAGAAATACTTTGCACTCCTACCAATTTCTATAAATGGATCTTGAAACTGAATGCAGGAAAAATGATCCCTTGAAACTAGAGAAGGGTATGGGCTTGTGACCAATATAAGCTTTAAAGAGAGAAAACATGCGTCTAATAGGATTTAGTCTTCTGATTTTTCCTAGCTGCTTTTAATTTTATCAGCTGTTTTATAGCAGTTTTATGTTATTATATTCTCCCTATATTTTTTATTATCTTTTTTCAAAAAGAGTTGTTGCTGATTCTCGTAATTTAAATGTGTTATCATTTTTGATGATTAGAAGAAACATAACACAAAACATGTTTTTATTTATATTTTCAAATTTTCTTATATCACTAGATTTACGAAAATACATCTTTCAAAAAAGCCATTCATTTATTCATTCTTTATTTATTTACCAATCAAGAATCCAGAGTACCTATTATGTGCACAGCTTTAAGTACATTGGGGAATGAAAAGATGAATAGTTTTCAAGCAAAATCTTTATTGCTGATATATTTTAAGAATTATATACCTAATGAGAAACATAAGACATGTATTTTTTGTCTTATAAGGTTTTTTCTTTTAAAAAATACATTATAGATCACCTTAAAAGGAGAAAAATATTAATGCAGTAAATCAGTTTTAACGTTGCTAGCCTAATGTTTACATTATTATTCTTGGTATAATTAAAAAATACTAACAAATATTAACAAAGATTAAACAAAAATGAACTTATCTAGATCTAAGGAAGTAAATGGTTCTTGACTATTTAGGGCTTTCAGTGAAGTGTGCGCAGCTTGGCTTTTTCGAAGAGAATGACATTCAAATATGGTATAAAAATATCTGATTTCACCCAACTCATCTGTGAGAATCTAGAAATGACTGCTATCTAACAAGGCCTACATAACATCTTCAGGAATCTGTTACAGCTTAATTCTCTTTTTTTTTCTTTCATTTTCTTTTTTTTATTATTATTATTATAGTTTAAGTTTTAGGGTACATGTGCACATTGTGCAGGTTAGTTACATATGTATACATGTGCCATGCTGGTGCTCTGCACCCACTAACTCGTCATCTAGCATTAGGTATATCTCCCAATGCTATCCCTCCCTCCTCCCCCCACCCCACAACAGTCCCCAGAGTGTGATGTTCCCCTTCCTGTGTCCATGTGTTCTCATTGTTCAATTCCCACCTATGAGTGAGAATATGCAGTGTCTGGTTTTTTGTTCTTGCGATAGTTTACTGAGAATGATGATTTCCAATTTCATCCATGTCCCTACAAAGGACATGAACTCATCATTTTTTACGGCTGCATAGTATTCCATGGTGTATATGTGCCACATTTTCTTAATCCAGTCTATCATTGTTGGACATTTGGGTTGGTTCCAAGTCTTTGCTATTGTGAATAATGCCGCAATAAACATACGTGTGCATGTGTCTTTATAGCAGCATGATTTATAGTCCTTTGGGTATATACCCAGTAATGGGATGGCTGGGTCAAATGGTATTTCTAGTTCCAGATCCCTGAGGAATCGCCACACTGACTTCCACAATGGTTGAACTAGTTTACAGTCCCACCAACAGTGTAAAAGTGTTCCTATTTCTCCACATCCTCTCCGGCACCTGTTGTTTCCTGACTTTTTAATGATTGCCATTCTAACTGGTGTGAGATGATATCTCATTGTGGTTTTGATATGCATTTCTGTGATGGCCGGTGATGATGAGCATTTTTCATGTGTTTTTTGGCTGCATAAATATCTTCTTTTGAGAAGTGTCTGTTCATGTCCTTCGCCCACTTTTTGATGGGGTTGTTTGTTTTTTTCTTGTAAATTTGTTTGAGTTCATTGTAGATTCTGGATATTAGCCCTTTGCCAGATGAGTACGTTGCAAAAATTTTCTCCCATTTTGTAGGTTGCCTGTTCACTCTGATGGTAGTTTCTTTTGCTGTGCAGAAGCTCTTTAGTTTAATTAGATCCCATTTGTCAATTTTGTCTTTTGTTGCCATTGCTTTATTCAATTCGAAAAGAGGAAGTCAAATTGTCCCTGTTTGCAGACAACATGATTGTATATCTAGAAAACCCCATTGTCTCAGCCCAAAATCTCCTTAAGCTGGTAAGCAACTTCAGCAAAGTCTCAGGATACAAAATCAATGTACAAAAATCACAAGCATTCTTATACACCAACAACAGACAAACAGAGAGCCAAATCATGAGTGAACTCCCATTCACAATTGCTTCAAGGAGAATAAAATACCTAGGAATCCAACTTACAAGGGACGTGAAGGACCTCTTCAAGGAGAACTACAAACCACTGCTCAAGGAAATAAAAGAGGATACAAACAAATCGAAGAACATTCCATGCTCATGGGTAGGAAGAATCAATATCGTGAAAATGGCCATACTGCCCAAGGTAATTTATAGATTCAATGTCATCCCCATCAAGCTACCAATGCCTTTCTTCACAGAATTGGAAAAAAACTACTTTAAAGTTCATATGGAACCAAAAAAGAGCCCGCATCGCCAAGTCAATCCTAAGCCAAAAGAACAAAGCTGGAGGCATCATACTACCTGACTTCAAACTATACTACAAGGCTACAGTAACCAAAACAGCATGGTACTGCTACCAAAACAGAGATATAGATCAATGGAACAGAACAGAGCCCTCAGAAATAACGCCGCATATCTACAACTATCTGATCTTTGACAAACCTGAGAAAAACAAGCAATGGGGAAAGGATTCCCTATTTAATAAATGGTGCTGGGAAAACTGGCTAGCCATATGTAGAAAGCTGAAACTGGATCCCTTCCTTACACATTACACAAAAACCAATTCAAAATGGATTAAAGACTTAAACGTTAGACCTAAAACCATAAAAACCCTAGAAGAAAACCTAGGCATTACCACTCAGGACATAGGCATGGGCAAGGACTTCATGTCTAAAACACCAAAAGCAATGGCAACAAAAGACAAAACAGCTTAATTCTCTAAGCAGTGGAGGTTTACATTTTAAAAGAAACAACAAACTTTGTTTTTCGCAGTGGCAACCTTGAACGCTTTTGAATTAAAACCTGGGGATCCTGTTTATTGGCTTTGAGATTTTTTGCTACACCACTCCAGGGGGCACTAAGCACATTTTCTAATCTCCATAAATTAAAAAAAAATTAAAATAACACATTTCTTTTTTACCTTGAAAAAACAATTTCCATCAACACAACAATTTCCATTCAATTTCCTGGATACAAACTGTTAATAGAAGTAGGGAAGGAAAGGAAAGTGATAATTATTTAAACATGTTAAAGTGAACAATTCATGGTTTAATAATTGCTGTGTTTTCACAAGAAAGTTATTCTTTGAAATTGGCTTTCACATGTGAAATAAACCACCTTTAGATGCTCTATCTTCATGCACGGTTTTCTTACATTTAATCATTTCATCTTTAAAACAAAAATGACATCAGAAATAAAACACAGTCTCAGTACTGTTCTTCAGTTATACTTAATGAACATACAAAATATAGACAGGGGCAGAAGAGAGGCATAAAAATGATGATAATATGATACTTTTATGTACCATTTCTAGTAATAAGTTTGTTAGCTCAGGTAATTTGGATCTAACAGAAGAAATAGTAGCAGCTGCCATAGCCCCATCTCAACGTCTCCTGGAAGGGTTGACATAAAAGACTCTTGGCCATGGTGGTTAGTTATGGGACAGAATGAGCCAAGTTCATTAAACCATTCCAAGGAAGGGAAAGAGAATCACTTTCAACATACACATAAATACGTGTGTATACACACACACACACACACACTATATATATTATATATATATATTATAATTAACAAGATGAGGTAGATTTTTATCAATTTATTTCTTGGCTTATCAGCATCTATCACCCTAGTTCAAGTACCAGACGTTTGAGGATTCTACCCCTTTTCATTTTTATCCCTGAATTTGGGTGGGCTCCACTTACCCCCTGATACTAGAAGTAAAGCATCTATCTTAGACCTAAGTTTATTAGTTCATTGCATTCTCCCTAGAGACAAGTACGTGACAGAAACACAGCCAGTGAGATGCAATGGATCTTTAGCTGGAACTACCACCAGAGTGATTCTCATTTTGCTTTTTCCAGGGCATTTGAGAATGAGTTTATAGAAACTAAGAGACCAACTCAGAAGCCACACATTTGAGAGGTTGAGACAAAGTAACCAGGTCCTGATGAGTTATTTGAGCATTTGCCTAAAGTTGTGCCTGAAGCCAGGCCTATCCCTAGACTTTTTAGTTACATGACCCCACACATCCCCCTTTTGCTTGAACCAGTTTGCATCGAATTTTCTGTTACTTGAACCAGAAAGAGGCCTAAATAGTACTGAAAAAATATATATATATCTGAGGAAGAGATTATCTTATCATGGATGTAAGCAGACAATTTTATAAGAATTCAAGAGAGCTAAAAAACAGAACAAACATTCCAGTGAATTTTTGATTTTCCTACTCAAAGTTTCATGTAGAGAAATATATACATCATCTGGTGATTTTTATTTAATTGCATTACTGGAAGCTGTTATAACAAAATATATGTGACTTGATGACATAATTACATGTAATATGGATACCATGGCCTAGCATCTAAATGCTAAGATTTTAAAAACTCTTTTTAAAAAAGAATTCTAGCTAAAAGTTTGTGCATTGAAATCTCTCTTATTCTGTTTCTCATGGCCTCAACCAAATATCCTTTATGTGCTTGTTATTTTGTTTTGATGCCATCAAATGAAGGTTCAACCTCATGAGAAAATCTTTTGAAATGGTCTCCTGAAACAACACAGAATATGATTCTAGTATGAGTATAATTATGTACAACACAGCAGTGGAACCAAGGACATAAAATAAAATAGCTGACAACACTAAGAAGTCATAATTTCAGCTTGTTATACACACTCTCATCTTAAGGAAGATGAATCAAAATTCTTTGCAACTTGCGTCATTTCTGAATATGAAGGACTGCAATATACAAAGCTAAATTTATCCTTCCTTTAATGGACCATGCAGCTAATTCCAGCAGATGAAGACTGCAATCCCAATATCCCTCCTTCTGAAGCACTAAACAAAACAGGCAGGTTTTGTGAACTTTTGCTGCTTATTTTCACTATGACTTTTCACATTTCCTTTGGCAGCTTTGGCATGGAATACCTTAAGAAAAGGTTTTAGTATCTAACATCGCTGGAATCATATTTACCTGCAAGGTTCTAAAATGTGATGTTCAAAAATGAAAGCTCCTTTAACTCCCCAAACCAGTCATATGCCATCTGTAATCTGTGACCGGCCAAAGCTCAACATCTATGAGAAGCTGAACAGCTTCTCTCTAATACACCCACCAGCAGACTCTCAATTCTTTGGGGTGTCTTAAGAACAACACTCTGAAAACCCAAAGTAGGAAAAAATCCATCAATGTATCAAACAAAATTTCCACCTCACTCATGGCTCATGACCAATATTTTTTAGTGATAATGGATAAAGGCCAAGAAATTGGCCGATATGAAATCCAGCTTAAAAAAAAAAAAGACTTTCTTTGCACTAGGAAAATAAAGCCATATTACAGAATGAATTGACTTACCATTTTACCATTTTGTTAAAAGACATTCTGATGAGATTTAGAAAGCAGCAAGACTTACCTAGAAGAAAAAAGAGGAAAAAAAGGAGAAGATATTAAAACAATAAATAAGAAAGGATAATAGTGAAGACATTTTTAAATGGATTCTAAGATGACAAAAAGTGAGCACAGACCACCTACATAGGAGTAAGTCAGTAAAGGAGAAAGGGGGAAAATAAACTTCTTTAAGTTGTTATTACCTTTATCGCACGAAAGGATAAAATACACAGGAATCGAGTGTTTATGTTATATAAGGTGTGTAACAGAGCCCTTCATATTAGCACAATTCATAAGGAAATTACATGATTTTAATGTTACCTCTTAGTCCCTGAGAAATTGAAAAGTGACTTCACATTACATACATTTTAAAAATATTGGTGTACTGGGCATCAGCCATAAAGATCATCAAATTGTTTTAAAAACCCAGGCAATATGCAGATGACAGGGAAAGAAATAATCTCCCTACAAGCTTGGAGTGGTCATTCCAGGACTTTTTGTTTTGTTTGTTAATCAAGTCTCTGTACTCTCTTACCATTGTAATAGGCTAGACAAGTATAAACCTTTAAGTCCGCTGACAGGGTTCCCTGTTTCCCCAAAGTGGATGAAGGGAGAAAAAGGAACAAAGAATTGAGTTTCACCTCTAAAGAGATCATATGATGTGAGGTCAGTTTATGGAAGTTTTGCTGCTAGAAGCATATGTGGAATTTCCTAGCCACCTAGACAGTTGTTACCAGCTTTGTCCTATCTTTTGCAGGGAGACTGAGGCAACCTCATACATTTTTATATTTTATGTTTATATTAAATTTCCATGTTCTCTTTCATTCCCTCCACCTAGAGGGACTTATCTCTTCCTAAATTCCCTCTTCTACTGGGCAAAGAAGTAAGAGAAGAATCAGAAATGCATACAGAAAAGTTACAGGCTACTTTTTTCTTGTTTCTTCAAACTGACCTAAATTTCTAGGTGTTCCGGGGATATACATATGCTTACCTTTCACATCACTTCATATTAACATAGTAACTGGTGCAAGTGGCTAACCCCTACCCCCATAAAGACCCTCTTTTTCTGAACTACAGTTGAGTGAGTATTAAAATAAGGACTAAATCCCCAAACATATTTTTTAATCCCAGAAAACATATGTATTACTAATTTATAATCAAAGCCCAGGACATAGCAAAATGCATTGCGTAAATGAATGTGGGCAGGGCTAGGAGAATACCTAGGACTTTGGATGCCTAATCTAGTAACTGAGTACACGTCGACACAGTGCTTTTCTTTTAATCCTGAGTATTTTCTATATTCGTTTTTAGGAATGTTTTCAAAAGTATTTTGGCATGATTTTTAAAATTCACTACATAACATTTTAACAAATATTCTTTTTTTTTTTAACGTCGAAGTCGTCACCTGACATTTGTTATAGTCAATCAGTAGGGCAAACCTCCAAGTACCCCTGCCATCTTATAGGAACTGACAACAGAGATTTCTGCAGTCTTATTAAACAGTCCTTTTGCAATTACAGGTACATCACTCCAGGTTAGTGACTGGGAGGTGCGGTACGGCAGATCTATTCACGTAATTATCTCTCTATGAGACTGTAAACACATGACATTTCTTTTCAGTCTAAAATACTGAAAGCGCATTGTTTTAGTAACAACATCATGCAGTTTTTCTGTTGGTTAGCAAGGGCTTCACCTGCTGTGAAATTCCTAGATCATAAGTGAAAGTCTAACTCAGAGCCATCAGGGCCATGAGTAGCGATTTCATTTTTAGTTCATACAGTTAAATTAGTTATTTACTTACATGTCTGTGTATGCCTGATTCTTAAAAACTACGGTTATTTGAATGTTATTTAGTCTTGAGCGACATACAGTAATTGGTACATGTATTTGTTGGTGGGGAGAGAGATAAGGATCATTCTGTCCTTCCCTAACTTTGAAAAACACATAATATCAAAATTTATTTCTATACTTTCAGGGTAAATAAATAGTTATGCATTTTAAGCCAGTAGGAGAAGGTTTATTTTCAAGCTTGTGTTAAGACATTTGGTAATAATTATTGGAGAAGTGGATAAATACTTTTTTCCAGATGATAATTTTATGGCAGAAAATTTCTCTCAGTGGCTACTGCTATCTTGAATATTTTATATTTTAGTGCTCAAAATTCACGATTTTGGT